>NC_000017.11:1551717-1703232 GCF_000001405.40 Homo sapiens
CTCTTTAAGAAATACAAATACCAGAGGAGGAGCAAAACGAGACATGGAGAAAAAGTGTGCTGGTGAGGAGACTGAGTGATGGTGAGGTTCCTCCCCGCTGGACAGCACTGCTCTCCTCGCACCCCGGCACTGAGGTCCTGGACCCTCTGGCGAGGAGACTGGGTGACGGTGAGGAGACTGGGTGATGGTGAGACTCCTCCCCGCTGGACAGCGCTGCTCTCCTCGCACCCCGGTACTGAGGTCCTGGACCCTCTGGCGAGGAGACTGGGTGATGGTGAGGTTCCTCCCCACTGCACAGCACTGCTCTCCTCGCACCCTGGCACTGAGGTCCTGGACCCTCTGACACCATCAAAGTGACAGACCACAGTGAAGTGGGGCTTTTTCCAAATGAAAGTCAATTGATTTCAGTTCAGTTTAGAGACTAGAAATTAAGATCCAGCTTTCAGTTTCACAGCAGTGTGGATGGACTTAAATGTCACTGAACTGTATACTTAAAAATGGTTAAAATGGTGAATTTTATGTTACGTGTACTTTATCACAATTTTTAAAAAGATTCAGGTTTACCTTTACCAGTTCTGGATAGCTTCTAAAACTAGCTTGGTTTGACTTCCACTCAAGCTGATGTATAATTAATACCATCAACGCCCTTTGGGTCTGCTCACAGTTTGCTGAAACATTACTGTTTTCGTTAGGGATTTAGCAAATTTGTGTAGTTTGATATGGATTCCAGTACACAAATCAGTTCAAGCTTCATTTAAAAATGCTGATGCCTTTGATCCAAAGAGAGGTACCAAAATTTCTCTAGCGATCGATTTCACGATATCAGAATTAAAAACCCTACCAGCCCAGCAATTCTAGGAATTCAATTTTAGGAATATTTGCTAAAAATCTGCATATACAAGTACATCAGAAGATCTACACAGAAGGAGTTTTACTGGATTATGTAGGCATCTGGAAATGACTAGAAATATGCGTCAAGACAGGAGGGTTCAACAACCTATAGCACTTCTGTCCCCCATGATACTGTGAATCCTACACGGACTTCAGAGACCGAGGCAGACAGAACAGGCTGGGAGAGGAGGCCATGATAAGTAACAACAAAAAAGGAATAGTATATTCCCATCTATATAAATGTGAGTATAACATTTATACAGTCAGTATATAACTATTAATTGTTAGGATATAACAATTAGTATAATCCCATCTATATAAAACAATAAAGGAAATAACACTCATTCACACACACACAAAAGCCAGCATCCGGCCCCGCTGCTCATGCCGCATACCTCTGCAGGTGGTAGATCTTGTGTGTGTACTGGCCTTTCTCACCGTCCTTCTCGTAGGGCTCATTCACCAGGACCTCCACGCCTTCGCCACCACCCGTTTCATTTTTACTGGCCTCAGCCACAGAATACAGCTGCCCCACTTGATACTAAAGGACAGAGACAGATGTTATTCTCAACACGGACCCTTCTCAACGGTTACACGTAATCCAGCTGCCAGTAAGTGTCTAACTGGATCTCCCTGGGGTCTCCTCATGCAGGAGCTGGTTCTGGAGTTTCACATCAGGCCTTGCCCAAACCCACCCAAAGCAACTGACAGTGCTGCTCCATGGCCCCTCTTGACCCATCAGACGTGTTTAGTTCATCCTTCTCATTTTCACACCACCCATCAGGGTTTATTTTTATTTATTTATTTTTTTTGGTAGAGACAGGGTCTTGCTATGTTGCCCAGGCTGGTCTCAAAACTCCTGGTCTCAAGCCATCCTCCCACCTTGGCCTGCCAAAGTGCTGAGATTATAAGCATGAGCCACCGTTCCCAGTCAATCCATCAGGATTTAAAGAGGCAGGTGAGTCTACTTAACCTGACACCACCACGCAGAAAACAGATTAGAGTCCAAAGGAGCTTTTGTGCTAAGCCTGCTTCTGGTATTAAGACCCCAGAAGACCTAGGTTGGTTGCTAGAAATCACTGGATCTCACCCATTTAAATAGATCCTAAGACTTGATTTCTTGTCAAAGAAAGGTGCTCAGCGCTCTGTGAAATCCGCAACCTCTATCGTAAAACTGGCTCATCTACTCGCTTCTTCTCTAGTCTTAGGCCTCTCCTCACCCCGCAAGTAGCTCTTTCAGGCAATGAAACCTCTTGACATTTTCCAGATTCCTGGTGGGGCCAAGCAAGTATTCCTGCTTCCCACATGAGATATTACAGATTCCTGCCCCACAGTCTGTGCCGGCTGGGTGCACCCTCTGTGTTGGCACTTACTACATGGCAAAAACCTAGTTTTCCTTTATTTGGGTCACATGCCACCCTATCAAGTCACCAGTCAACATGATTGGCCTCCTCTGACCCTGTCAGGATGGGCCAATGACCTAGGCAGTGCCCAGACTTAGCCCTTCCGCCTTCTTCTCTGAGAAGCTGTCCAGAGGAGAAAACAAGGTGAAAAGAAAATGAACAGCAACATTTGAGGCAGGAAATTATGTCTACACCAACGGATGTGTCTTTCCTACCGCTGCCGGTGCTAATCAGGCATGGCTGCTTAGGGAGTATGAGAAAAAGGAAAAAAGCTATGGGATTACCCAACATGCTGGGGGGTGGAGGGGGACAAAGGGTTTCCTCGAGCTCTATGCCCAACTCCTGGCACCCCCGGGGGGAAGACAAGGGTGTTTCTCTATTTTTTTTTTTTTTTTTTTTTTTTTTTAGACAGAGATCGCACAGTGGTGCGATCTCAGGTCACTGCAACCTCCGCCTCCTGGGTTCAAGTGATTCTCCTGCCTCCTGCCTCCTGCCTCAGCCTCCGAAGTAGCTGGGATTACAGGGACTGGGTTTTTCTCTCTTTGAGATTAAAACAGAAAGGATGTATCTCTAGGCAACTGCTACTTAAATCACTGCCTCCAACAGCAAGGACAGAGGCAGCTTCCAGAGCTGCTTCGCCTCAAACTTAGAAACCTGCTCTACCAGGCAGCTTCCTAAGCACTGCAGGGAAATTTCTGGGCAAAATCTGGAAAGTGAAGCAGAGGACGAGGACAATTCACTGCTCACCACAAGGCTGAAAGAGCCCTAACTTTCAAAGCAAAATCCCAGAACAAAATGCCATGAAAAGGGGCAGCAATCGAGGCTCAGTGAAATCCATACAGAGGAACATATGGGTGAAAGCCAGTCACCTTGACCTTGCTAATCCTAAGCTGCATCAGTGCTGCCTCAATGCCCCCCTGGAGCCCCAAGCTGTCCCTGTGCCTCTCCAAGTCCACCACCCAGCTAGGCACACATGAAAACCCGTCAGGTGGGTCAGGGCTTGGCTGAGCCAGGGGTGCCTAAGAAGGAGCAGTAACTCCGTTTCAGAGAAGAGCCGTAAGAACATCTAACCACTGACTCAGCAATCCTAAAGGACAGGCTGGGGAGAGGGCCTGGTGGAGGGGGCGAGGTTCCCAGCTAGTGGTACCACTTGGGAAGGGGGACCCCAGGCAGAGACTAATCGCCTTCATTTGGTTTCTCTTCAGCTGCAGGAATCAGAGGGCAGGTTCTAAGAGGATCAGCCTGTTGGCTGGCATCTTCCCCCTTCAATCTCTCTTGATATTCTGATCCTTTAATCCCAATGAGACAAGTGAAGGCAGTTTTGTTAATCTAAAGGGGTAAGCAAGACTGGCCTGCACAAGCTACAAGTGAAGGGCGCTTTTCACGTTAGAGTTCCTTTTGGCACAGCTGCTCTGCCCCCTGGGAAAGCAGCCAGACTCGGATGGGGCAGAGATAGGAGTGGGAGGGTCAGATCATTAAATCAGATTTAAAAAACTCCAACAGGACTGGGAATCTAGCCTCCTCAGACCTGCGATGATGTTCCTTGCTCTTGAGATCTGTTCACCTATCCCAGAGAACTAAGACATTCAACTAAGAAAAACAGACTCCACAACTTTGGCAATCTGGGAGGGGGAGCCCAGTGGGTGGGCCTGAAATACTGACATGAAACACGTCATAAACAACAGTACAGCTTTGGTCCCACCAACATGGCCCTGTCAGGCTGGGTACCAGAGGGGGACTGGTGCCGTGAATCTCTGGAAACAAGAAGTGAAGCAGCCCGGCCGACCTGTGCCAGGAAGCACTGGTGGACACACCCCGTCAAACAGCCAGGGCTTTCTCGCTCTGCTGCACAACGCCCAGACACTCAGGGTTAGACCAAAGGCTCTGGCCACCCAGAAGCTAATTCTGCCCCCAAAATATTGATGCAGGCCATCGGAATGATTACAAAGGCATGACCTTCTCTTTCCCTTTCTTCACTTTCCCCTAAATCAGAAAACTGCAAAGGCCTCAAGTCATGGCCTCCAATTTAGGAAGTGAATCCACCAGTCACAAGATGCTGAGCTGTTCCCATAGAAACTGTTAAGTCAGGATGGGGATGGGGTTACTGACAAAGACTCTGAGAAGGTTGATCATGAATTGTTTCTTCTTCGGCCTTCCCCTCCAAGATTTTTCTAATTCTCTGAAACTAAGTTCCGCTTCGACCCTACCCAGGCCACGTGGTACTTTCTTGTCAATGGTTTCTTGCTGAGAACGGGCTGACCACTGCCAGGCAGACAGGTGAATCCTGATCAGCACTCACTTCCCAAGCTTCTGCTTAGACTTCAGGCTCTGATTACTCAACTCCGCCCCACCACTTCCTCAATGCTGCAGAAAAACCATCACAAGTGAACACCCGCCAACTGTGGATGCTCTCAAGGTGGAAGTTCCCCTTTCCTTCCAGTCTTGGCCCCACCATAAGCCATCAGTGTCTGGCCCTTCAGCCTTACTCCAAGAACAGCCCCAGGTGCTCCAGGACAGGCTGGCCCTCCTTGGTCTGCAGCACTTCTCAGAGACACTCTCGCCCTTCGTTCCATCAAGAAACTCCCTATCAAAGGATCCATTTCACCCCTAATCACCACACTAAGGAAATCCCGAGTTCCTGGGGCACATCTTCCTAACGATCGGGGTGGGATCATCCTGTACAGCAGAGAGGACGTCACTGGACACCTCCCCAAGAGCTGAGTTTGAGGGCAAGGGACGCGCTGGGCTTTCCTGCTTGGCCTTCTGGTTTGGAAAATCATCGCTTGCTATTTTCAATAAAGACAGCACAGGCTGGGTGAAGTGGTTGACATCTGTAATCCCAGCACTCTGGGAGGCTGAGGCAGGAGGACTACTTGAGGCAAGACCAGCGTGGACAACAGAGTGAGACCCTATCTCCACTATTTAAAATAAATATTATAAAATAAAAAAAATAAAGACAGCATGGCCAAAGCAGGTGGGTTAACAAGACCCTTCCAAGCCAACACCTGTCAGCCCAGGCACCTGGTTCTCAGGCCCCAGGTACATCCCCAGTGCCTACAGGGATTAGAGCCATCTACCCAGCCATTCCCTCATTCTCCCTGGTTCCCAGGTTCCCCAGTCTCGTTTCTCTTTTCTGCCCTTCCCAGAACCCCAAGATCACGGTCAAGGCCCACCTCTGGCCCCCTCCCCAGGTCCCCACAGCTCTTATCAGATATGTAGCCCACCCCTGGAGGCAGTCCTCTAAAGGGCCAGTGTCTGCCCACCCCTCTCGGGGGCCAACAAGCCTGGATGTCTGTCTCAACTAAATGTGCTGCAGGCTCTGCTGGCCTGATTTCATTTTTCAAAGGTGCAGTTCATATTGGGAACAGAGTGGAAGTTATCACAGGAGCTTCATGCTGACACTGCAGGAAAGAGAGACGGAGCCCAGTGACTGGAGGCACTATACTGGCTGACGAACCTCACCCAAACTCGAGTTTAACTGGAAGCTGGGGCGGGGTGGGGCTGTGATTTCAGAAGGAAGCAAAGAACAAGGCTGCGCCAGGAGAGGAGAGTGGAAGAAGTTCAGAGAAAGAGTGAGACAAGGGAGGTTCCGTGACAGTTTTCCGTTGTCCAAGAGACTGACTCTGAGTCAGCATGGCCTATGAACCTTCTTACAGCAAATCCTGCTGCCAGATCCCCACATACAAGGATGTCAGACCCAGGAACCGTAAAAGGACAGAGGACAAGCCAAGCCTATGTGTTATTCCCTGCCCTTCGTAAAAGGAGGGTTCTGTGTCTTGGTCTTTCCAGCAGTCACCTATCGTGGCTAGGGAGAGCCTCAAGAGATTTCCTGCCCTGCTGGTTTGTTGCACAACCAGAAAGAGCCACGCACACTTGCCAGCCGAGTCACGGACGTCCCAGAAATGCACACACTTGATCCCATCAATAATGCGTCCCCGGCCGGGTGTGGGGGCTCACGCCTGTCATCCCAGCACTTTGGGAGGCTGAGGCGGGCGGATCACTTGAGGTCGGGAGTTTGAGACCAGCCTGGCCAACATGGTGAAAGCCCATCTCTACTAAAGATATAAAAATTAGCCGGGTGTGGTGGCACACACCTGTAATCCCGGCTACTTGGGAGGCTGAGGCAGGAGAATAGCTTGAACCCACGAGGCAGAGGTTGCAGTGAGCGGAGATCGCACCACTGCACTCCAGCCTGGGAAACTGAGCAAGACTCCGTCTCAAAAAAAAAAAAAAAAAAGGGTCCCCAGACATGCACAGCCCCAGCAGATAAAAGGGGCTGGTTTAATCTCTACTCATCCAGCATACCAACAGCTTGGGACAGGTTGCACACAGTTACCCAGATATACAAAGTAAGTGCCATTTTTCAACTGAAAGTGGCACCACGAAATTCACATTGAAATATTTATGTTAGAACAAATAAGAAAACTATATAAACAGGATAACCACTCAGAGCCCAGCTTAGCCAATGGTCACAAACAGTTACACACAACTATGGACCAGAAAGTAAAAGGACTTACCTCATCTACAGACACAGGCAGGATTACTCGACTATAAGAAAGGGAAAAGAGAGTATCAACTTTAGGCTGTGCAATCTGCTCAAGGCTCTTTAAAGCATCATCCTAAAACAGTCAGCAGCATTCTATTGTGTAAGACACTAAATTCAGTGACGAAAACCCCACAGAGAATGGCCCTTTGAGTGCTCTGAGGACAGGACCCTCTGTGCCCTAGAGGTGTAAGACACTAAACTCTGTGACAACACCCCCCCCCCGCCCCCCCCCCCAGAGAATGGCCCTCTTAGTGCTCTGAGGACAGGACCCTCTGTACCTTGAGGCATCCCAGTTAGAACCCTGTGATTCAGTCCAAACCTATCCTCCCGCCAGCTACTTCCCAGGCCTCCACCTCACATTCGGAACTGGACATATGGATGATAAACTTCACCCAAACTTGCCAATGAGTCGTCCCCCCAACAAGACTTGCCAGTGAGTCTAGTAAGACAGGTTAACACAGGAGGACCTATCATGGTGAGGATTCAGACCCAAACAAGAGGCCCTGGGGACTTAAATTTCTGTGGACCCAACCTCCCAACAACAGCCCTCCAGGGGAAGGGCCAGGAAGGGACCAAGCCCCTTGAAGCCTAAGAACACACACCGGGCATCTCTGCTCGGGGCTGGATATTACAATCCAAGCTGCTACCACAAAGCCACCAAGAGGGCATTCAACTTATGTCCTGACCTCCAGGAGCTGTCCAAAGGAATCCCAATTTATCATTTTCTTTTCTTCTTCTCCAACTCAATGACCACCAATTGCTGGAGATGCCACCAGCAACCTATTGGAGAAGCCGTGGCCGGCAAAGTCTCCGCCAGGGCCAGAACCCCACAGAGGTGCCAGGGCTAGCAGCACTTCTCCAGGTGCCGTGCATGTGAAATGCAGACCAAGAGCCACCCCCAGTTCAAAGCTGTGAGGCGGGAGAGCTAAGACAAAAACTCTTGGTTTTACCCATACAAGTCCAGCCAGTTTCCAAGCTTAGACGTTCGGTCCCCAGACCCTTGCTGGAGCCCTCTGGGTCCTTTTGTGTCTTGCATGTTTAGTGAAGCATTAGGGAAGCATGAGCTGCTGTGCCTTCCTTATGCAGCCGGCTCACCACTCAGGCTCCTTGCTCCAGGCTAGTAAACAGCTATTTTCTAGTTCCACAAAGGTCCCCCAGGAAGCAAGAAGGACACAGAGGGGTCTGAGGAAAACATCACCTCAAAGGCAAGACACCAAGCAGGAAAGTAGCAGGAAAAACAAAATGGGCTCCAAGTCTTTACTGCCTGCTAACAACTCCCTTCCTCCAGAGCAACTCAAACAACATAAATCCTCCAGTTTACTGAATGCTGCCAGTGAGCCTCCCCTCCCATTACAGAAAGCCAGTGGTGCAGAAAAATACTCCCAACTTGGAGGCCAGAATTTCTGCACCCTCAGAAGAAACTTCCTAGAAAACAATAAGCCTTTTATCTTCAAGAACAGCAGTCAAAATCACATCCAAGATTTTGCAGAAATCAAATTAAACAGAATCCTGTTAGAGGAAGTGTTGGAAAAATCAACAGGGGCAACCTGCAGACGCTGGGTGGGAACCAAGTCTCACCCCAAAAGAGAATGCCATGGGCCAATTCCTGACGGGATGCGCTGAGGCTGCTGACGTGACGGCTGCACACTCTGACACTGCCCCCTTGCTCCTTAGGAACAAAACCACTTCGGCAGCAATAGGGTACAATTCCAAAGGACAGGGCCACAGAGGAACTGCCGGGCTGGGCCTGGAGCGGCACTCACTCTAATGTGACCTTCACTCGCACCCTTTCCAGGGCTGCAACGCTGCGGCCACAGCCAGTGTCTCGGATGCCCTGATGCCCCTGCTCCTCCCCCGTCCCCCGCCCAGGGATGCACACACGGGGCACGAGTCGGGCAGGAAGGAAACGCAGATACCAGGCAGGCCCTGCATCTCCGGCACCTTGGACTTTTCCCTTGCAGGCTTCAAGGGGAGGAGAACAAAGACAGGGAAGGAGTGCCTCTCTTCAAACCTCACTCAGATCTCCTCTGAAGGTCCCTTCCTTTCCCTGCCTGACCTTCATTTCAAAACCACAGATTTCTACAGATTCTAGGGTTCATTTGGGAACAGGAAAAAGAATCAGAAGGATGGGAAAAGCCTGTCAGTCTGGACACTGAAGATTAAAATCTAAAGTGCACCACGTTCTCCTGTTGGCATCGTAAAGTTCTTCCTCCTCACCAGGAAAAGCTCCGAGCCCTGGCTGAATTAACATCAGACTGGATGTCAAGAAACAGAGGGGATGAGGCCTCAAAATAATGCTCTTCAGATGAGGTGTTTAGCTGGGATGACATGTGGGTCTCAGCTCCCTCTGTTACCCAAACTCCACTCTATGTCCTAAATGTCCTAAGCACCTCCAAGGAGCCAGCCTGGTGGGGATGGTCAAAGTGCGATCGCTGACAAAGTGGCAAGAGCTCTCTGCACACCTGCCTGGCTGCCTCACAAGTTGCTCTCTGTTTGACCATCTCCCACTCCTGGGGCTTCTGGCCCTCCCTCCAGGAAAGCAGTTTCACTGTAAATTCTGTGCACACACGCACACGCACACACACACACACACCCATCCTATCTCTCCTCTTTGGGGAGAAAAATGTCCTGTGATGCTTACTTGGAACCCTGAGCTTCAACGATGGCTCATCTTGTACTTGAAAGATTTAGCACACCAAACATCTCCACCTGTCCCCCAGTCCCCTGGATTTCAGGAGCAAACCCGTCATCCTGCAACTCCTTCCAGAAGTCACCAGTTTCCCACGCACCCCTCTTCACTACTCAAGAGCTCCCCACCCCTTCCACCATCTCTCCTCAGTTCACGGCTCCATGGACCCCTCAATTCCTCAAAGAATTTCCCCATCTCTTTGCACCAAGACTGAGAATCCCCTAGAAACAAGCTGGCCCTGCCCTGGTCTCCCCCATCTCCAACGGCAGGTATACTCATCCCAACATACTCTCTTTCCGGACCAGCCTCGACCCCGGTAACTTCCCGGCCTTCTCCACTTCGGACCCTACCCAACATTTTCTGGCCTCCTCGCCCAAGTCTCCCCACGTCCCAAGCAGTCATCCCAAGCTTGTTCCAAAAGCCTCCTCTTCCGCACCAGCTGCTTGGGCACCACGGTTACTCCGGCCCGCATCTCAGCCCCCTCTGCATGTCCTCAGACCCTTCACCTGTCTCCCCAGCCAGGCCCTGACTTCCTAGTCCTCCTCCTGTGTCCACTTACCACCACCCCTCACCCGATGCCTAAGGCGGCCACTCCTCCCCATCCCCATCCCAACTCCATCGCGGAGCCTCTGACCCATCCACCCGGCTCTCCGTGTGAACTGTTCGGCCCTCCACCTTTCCCCACCGCCGGGAGGCCCTGCCTGCCCCGGTGCGCCTCTTCCTCGGCCGCCGCGGGGCCTCTCAGCGCCGCCTGCAGTCCCGGCTGAGCCCGCGCCCTCGGCCCGCGCAGAGCGACCCCACAGCACTCCCAGCGCTCGGCGTCCCCTCGGCCTCCCCCAGTCCCGGGCCAGCTCTCCCTGCCCTGACCCCGTCTCGGGCCTGGCCTCGCCCTCGCTGTCCCCGGCCTCTCCTCGGGTCCACTTGGGCCTCCGAGGCCCCCGGGGCGCCTGAGGAGCCGTCCGCCCGGGTTGTCCCTCCGTGCCCGTGGGCCCCTCCATGCCCCGGCTGCCCGTCCATGCCCCGTGGGCCCCGGCTCAGATGCCGAACGCCCCGGCTGCCCCTCCACGCCCCGGCCGCCCCTCCACGCCCCGGCCGCCCCTCCGTGCCCCGTGGGCCCCGCCTCACGTGCCGCCCGCCCCGGATCCCCTCCATCCCCGCTGGGCCCGCCTCAGGCACCCTCCGTCCCTGCTGCCCCTCCGTCCATCCGGGCCCTGCGTCCCTCGCCGCGCCGTCGCCCCGGCGGCCGTCCCCACCCTCCCTCCTCCCCGCTTCCGCACGGCCGCCGGACACTCACTACTCCTTGAGCAGCACCATGTCGCTTCGCGGCTCGGTGGCTGCCCGCGGCCCGCCCGGCCTCCCGCCCGCTGCCCGCCGGCCGCTCTCCCCGTGGCCCGGCCCGGCCCGGCTGCCTGTGCGTCTTCGTCGTGCTCTGCTCCGTCCCCGCCGCCCTCGCCGCGGTCGCCGCGCCGGCTCCTGCCGCCCGGGCCTCGTCGCCTCTCGCGCCGCTGCCGACGCCGCCCGGAGCTCCGGTTCCGCAGCGCCGCGCGGGGGCGGGGCGTCTCTGCGGCAACCAGAGCGTCACACGCCGCGGTGCGCGCTGACGTCACGCGGGGCCGAGCCTTCCCAGGCCCGCCCTCCCGTCCTTAAGTGGGCCGCGGCGGCGCTGTCGGTTCCGAGGTGGGGCCCCGCGGCTGGGGCCAGACCCGGCAGAAGGCGGAGCAGACTAGGGTGTCCGTCACCGTCCTCGGTGTGAACCGCCACGGATGCACGCGGGTGCTGGCTGGGGGGCCTCCCCGGTTGAGGGAATTGAGACCCAGGAAAAGGTTGTTTCAAAAAATATTAATAGCCGCGCGCGGTGGCCCACGCCTGTAATCCTTGCACCTTGGGAGGCCGAGGCGGGCGGATCACCTGAGGTCAGGAGTTCGAGACCAGCCTGGCCAACATGATGAAACCCCGTCTCTACTAAAAATACAAAAATTAGCTGGGCGTGGAGGCACGCACCTGTAATCCCAGCTACACGGGAGGCTGAGGCGGGAGAATCGCTTGTACCGGGAGGCAGAGTTTGCAGTGAGCCGAGATCGCGATCGCGCCATTGCACTCCAGCCTGGGGGACAAGAGTGAAACTTCGTCTCAAAAAAAAAAAAAAGAAAAGAAAAGGGCTGTGAGGCCGGGCGCGGTGGCTCCTGGCAGTAATCCCAGGCACATCATGCCTGTAATGCAGCACTCAGGCGGGCGCATCACCTGAGGTCAGGAGTTCCAGACCAGATGGCGAAACCCCATCTCTACTAAAAGTACAAAAATTAGCCGGGCGTGGTGGTGGACGTGGTGGTGGTAGTCCCAGCTGCTCGGGAGGATGAGGCAGGAGAATCGCTTGAACCCTGGAGGCGGAGGTTGCAGTGAGCCGAGATCGCACCATTGCACTCCAGCTGGGGCGACAGAGCGAGACTCTGCATCAAAAAAAAAAAAAAAAAAAAGAATGAAAAGGGCTGTGAGAAATGAGACACAGGCTTAGCGGCATTACACGGAGGGGCACCTAATTGAGCGTCAGGGATGTAGTCAGGGAAGGCTTCCTGGAGGAAGAGATTCTCAGATCTGCAGAGGGCTTCGGAGAAGAGCATAGCAGGCAGAGTGAATGCAAAGGCTGGAGGCAAGAGGGAGAGCATGGTGCATTTGGAGAACTGACAAGTGAGTGGAACAGAACATTTCAGGGCTGAGCAGCTCAATAGGGGAGGGTTCCTGGTGAACGATGATAAGGTATTTGGAGTCCACCCTAAGGGCGGTGGGAGGGCATGTAAGGGCTCTGAGCAGTGACATGAGCGGGTGTCCTGGGCGAAGGCTCACTCTAGTGGTTGGGTGGACAGAGGGGATGGAATGCCAGAGCGTAGGCAGGGAGACCGGCGAGGAGGCTGCTGCAGATGTCCAGGTGCAGGTGGACTAGGACAGTGGGAGGGAAGAAAAGGAAGGGATGGATTCAGGAGCAACTCAGAAGGTAAACTCCGTGAGACTTGTTGACTCATTGGCTGAGAGGAGGAGAGAAAAGCAGCGAGGTCTCTGGCCTGGGAGCCGGGGTGGACGGTACTGTCTTCTCTGAGAACACAGGCAAGACAGGCTGGCATGGGGGCAGGTAATGACTCCAGTGCTGGACTCACACTCAGCGCAGGACGCTAGAGGGGCATCCAGGGGAGATGGGAGTGGGCTGCCTAAGACAGGGACTTGGGAAGGGAGGGTGGAGCAGCTGGCCGTGTTGCTATCAGGATGTGACTGGCGGCCCGCGACTGCCCTGAGCACTGTGCTCACTTATCAGATCCTAGAGTGGGGGCCAGGCTGAGTGCCTCACACCTGGATTCCCAGCACTTTGGGAGGCTGGGGCGGGCGAATCACTTGAGGCCAGGAGTTCAAGACCAGCCTGGCCAACATGGTAAAACCCCATCTCTACTAAAACAAAAATTAGCTCAGTGTGGTGGCATGTGCCTGTCGTCTCAGTTACTCGGGAGGCTGAGGTAGGAGAATCGCTTGAGCCCTGGAGGCAGAGGTTGCAGTGAGCCGAGATCATGCCACCGCACTCCAGCCTGGGCGACAGAGCAAGATTCTGTCTCAAAAAAACAAGCCGACCACTATTCACAATAGCAAAGACTTGGAACCAACCCAAATGCCCATCAATGACAGACTGGATAAAGAAAATGTGGCACAGCCGGGCGCGGTGGCTCACTCCTATAATCCTACCACTTTGGGAGGCTGAGGCGGGCGGATCATCAGGTCAAGAGATCAAGACCATCCTGGCTGAAATGGTGAAACCCTGTCTCTACTAAAAATACAAAAATTAGCTGGGTGTGGTGGCACGCGCCTGTAGTCCCAGCTACTCGGGAGGCTGAGGCAGGAGGATCACTTGAATGCAGGAGGATCACTTGAATTCAGGAGGCAGAGGTTGCAGCGAGCCAAGATCGTGTCACTGCGCTCCAGCCTGGCGAGAGTTAGACTCTGTCTCAAAAAAAAAAAAGTCTCAGATAATGTGGCACATATACACCATGGAATACTATGCAGCCATAAAAAAGGATGAGTTAATATCCTTTGTAAGGACATGGATGAATCTGGAAACCATCATTCTCAGCAAACTATAGCAAGGACAGAAAACCAAACACTGCATGTTCTCATTCATAGGTGGGAATTGAACAATGAGAATACTTAGACACAGGAAGGGGAACATCACACTCTGGGGCCTGTTGTGGGACGGGGGGAGGGGGAGGGATAGCATTAGGAGATATTCCTAATGTAAATGACTAGTTAATGGGTGCAGCACACCAACATGGCACATGTATACATATGTAACAAGCCTGCACGTTGTGCACATGTACCCTAGAACTTAAGTATAATAAGAAAATAAAATTAAATTTAAATTAAAATAAAAAAAAACAAGCCGACCTTGGACATCATGTCATCTCACCCCTCCAGGTTACAGTGCACATTCTAGAAATATGCACATTTCTTACAAATGCATAATGCCATTGTCATACTTAACAAAATTAATAATGATTTCCTGATGCTATCTCATCCCCAGTTCATATTCTAATTTCCCTGCTAATCTAAAAAATGCTATAGTTTCCTTTAGAGAAGTTCAGTATCCAGGCAAGGTCCATGTATTTTTTTTTTTCACACTTTATTTTGAGTTACGTTTTTTACATCTTTTTCAATAGCAAGTTTGCTGCAGATGTCCATACGGGTTAGACGCAGGGGTCACACCACTCTCCAGCTGTGCCACACTGTGAGCCAACAGCCCCACCCAGGACACAGACTTCCGCTGCCTTGGAGTCCCAGGCCTCCACTTCCTACCTCTGTGACCTTGTGCAAGTGACTTAACCTCTCTGTATCTCAGTTTCTTCACTTGGGAAATAGGGAACATGCCGGTACCTGCGTCATGGGGCTGCTGAGCCTCCTTGGATGAGGCAATGGACATGAAGCAGCTTTCTGCAGTGAGTGGCATATTTCCTTATTATTATTATTATTATTATTATTATTAATTATTGGGAAAAGGGCGTTGTGAACAAGGAGGGATGGACACCCCTGCCCCTCAAAACTACCTCTAGGCTGGTCACGGTGCCGCACACCTGTAATCCCAGCACTTTGGGAGGCCGAGGTGTGTGGATCACCTGAGATCAGGAGTTCGAGACCAGCCTGGCCAACATGGTGAAACCCCGTTTCTACTAAAAATACACAAATTAGCCAGGCGTGGAGGTGTGCGCCAGTAGTCCCAGCTCCTCGGGAGGCTGAGGCAGAAGAATCATTTGAACCTGTGAGGCAGAGGTTGCAGTGAGCCGAGATAGAGCAAGACTCTGTATCAAAAACAAAACAAAACAAAAAACCTACTTCTGCATTTCTGCATGCTCCAGGCTTAACAGAGGAAAGAAACGAGCAGCTTTCCATGGATCTCTCTCTCTTTGCCTTGCTCCCTCTGTCCGTCCTCTCTCAGTTTCTCAAGCTCCCTCTCTCTTCCTGTTTCTCCTGTCCCTTTCGTATCTCTCTGTCTCTCACTTGTGTCTCTCTGGCTCTCCCAGGCTGTCTCTCTCTGGACCTCTGTCACCCTGTCTCATTCTCTCTCTGTTCTCTGTCCCTCCCTTCACATCTCTGTCTCCCTTTATGACTGTCGTCTCACTTCTCTGGGCTCTCTGCATTTCTGCCTCACCTTTACCTCGCTTCCTGTCTCTCCTCTTTGGGCCTTTCCCTTCCCCTCTCTCCCACTTCCTGTGGTCTCAGTCTTTGTTTTTTTTTTTTTTTTTATTATTATTTTTTGAGACAGAATCTTGCTGTGTCACCAGGCTCGAGTGCAGTGGCGATCTCGGCTCACTGCAAGCTCCGACTCCCTTGTTCAAGCTATTCTCCTGCCTCAGCCACCCGAGTAGCTGGGATTACAGGCGCATGCCACCACGCCTGGCTAATTTTTGCATTTTTAGTAGAGACGGGATTTCACCGTGTTGGCCAGGATGGTCTCGATCTCCTGACCTCGTGATCCGCCTGCCTCGGCCTCCCAAAGTGCTGGGATTACAGGTGTAAGCCACCGCGCCCAGCCCTTGTTTTGTTTTTCTTCTCTTTTTTGAGACAGAGTGTTGCTCTGTCGCCCAGGCTGGAGTGCAGTGGCATGATCTCGGCTCACTGCAAGCTCCATCTCTCGGGGCTCAAGCGATTCTCCTGCTTCAGCCTCCCGAGTAGCTGGGATTACAGGAGCCCGCCACCACGCCCGGCTAATTTTTGTATTTTTAGTAGAGACGGGGTTTCACCATGTTAGCCAGGATGGTCTCGATCTCCTGACCTCGTGATCTGCTCGCCTCAGCCTCCCAAAGTGCTGGGATTACAGGCGTGAGCCACTGCGCCTGGCCAATTTTTTTTTTTTTTTTTTTTTTTAAGAGACAAGCTCTCATTATGTTGCCCAGGCTGGTTTCAAACTCCTGGGCTCAAACGATCCTCCTGGCTGGGCCTCCCGAATTGCTGGGATTATAGATGTGAACCACAAGACCCCATGTTTCATCGTCTCTTTGCGGCTATCTCCTTTCCCCTGTGTCTGCTGTGTTCTATCACAGTCTATTTCTCTCTCTCACTCCTTCGTCTTTTTGTTTTGTTTTGTTTTTTCTTTTTTTTTTTTTGAGATGGAGTTTCACTCTTGTTGCCCGGGCTGGAGTGCAATGGTGCCATCTCAGCCCACTGCAAACTCTGCCTTCCAGGTTCAAGCAATTCTCTTGCCTCAGCCTCCCGAGTAACTGGGATTACAGGTGCCCGCCACCACGCCCGGATAATTTTTTGCCCTTTTAGTAAAGATGGGGTTTCACCATGTTGGCCAGGCTGGTCTCCAACTCCTAGGCTCCAGCGATCCACCTGCCTCAGCCTCCCAAAGTGCCAGGATTACAGGCATGAGCCACGGCACCCGGCCACTCTTTCATCATTGTGTCTGTGGATCTCACGGTTCCAGTTCTCAGCATGGTTTCCCCTGGGTGGTTGACCCTTGGTACTGCGTCGGTTATAGCCAGCCCTGTAACCCATCTCTGGGTGTCCTGGGGAGACTGTATTTCACTGTTTCCATCTTCCGCTCTGCTCTTCTCCCAGCCTCTTAGTCTATTTTAGCTTCTTTTCTGTGGTATTTCTGTCTCTCTCTCTTTTTAAACTTCGTCCCCCAAATATTTATTGAGCAGCTATTCCATGCCAGGCACGATTCTAGGCACTGGGGGTAGAGTGGGGACCAAGGCAGAGCATGCGCCAGCCTTCAAAGAATGTTTTTTTCTTTCTTTTCTTTTTTTTTTTTTGAGACGGAGTCTCGCTCTGTTGCCCAGGCTGGAGCGCAGTGGTATAATCTCCGCTCACTGCAAGCTCCGCCTCCCGGGTTCACGCCATTCTCCTGCCTCAGCCTCCCGAGTAGCTGGGAGTACAGGCACCCGTCACCACGCCCGGCTACTTTTTTGTATTTTTAGTAGAGACGGGGTTTCACCGTGTTAGCCAGGATTGTCTTGATCTCCTGAGCTCGTGATCTGCCCGCCTCGGCCTTCCAAAGTGCTGGGATTACAGGCGTGAGCCACCGCACCTGGACATTTTTTGTAGTTTTAGTAGAGACAGGGTTTCACCATGTTAGCCAGGATGGTCTCGATCTCCTGACCTCGTGATCTGCCCGCCTCGGCCTCCCAAAGTGCTGGAAATGCTCGCCACCACGCCTGGCTACTTTTTGTATTTTTAGAAGAGACAGGGTTTCACCATGTTGGTCAGGCTAGTCTCGAACTCCTGACTTCAGGTGATCCGAGGGGGCTTCCTTTATAAGCAGAATTCACCAGCAGCCTTGGTCTTCCCACCCAAAAGGCCTGTTGCTCTGCCCTCCCACACTCCTTCAAATGGCAATGCAGATCAACCAGCAAATGCAGCCTGGCAGGGGTGGGGGTCAGGAACGCATCCCAGTCAAGGGACAGGGAACCTGGGCACCAGACAAGAGGCGAGAAATGTGTGATCTAGGGAGAAAGAGACACAGGAGCCAAGGAGGAAGCCGCTCGCAGTCATTCTCAGCATACATTTATTGAGTGCTCACTGTGTGCCAGGAAGTAAGCCAGGTGCTAGAAACGGCAAAGGAGCAGGGAAGAGGCGGGTCAGCCGCTGGGTTGACCCTGGTTAATACAGGGTACGGATTAACCCTTCAGGCTCCCTTCCGAGGGCCTGGGCGGGGTCTTGGGGCCGCTCCTGCCCAGGTGTTCTTTCCAGCAATGGAAAGGGATTCAGCGAGGTAAGACGCTTCCCCTCTCCTCCATTCAGAGAGCGGCACACAAGAAATCTACACAGTCTTCCCAACATGTACACACCCTGACATGCCCGGATGCATCTCACACTTAGATAAACACACACGCACACAGTCAGAGGCACGGTCCCGCAGCTGTATGAGGATGCGGTGTACAGGTGCTGCCTACGTGACCGTGCCTTGAGTCGCCCCACTCAGCAGAAACCTCACTCAGCAGAAACTTGTCCACCAGTGATTGATTATCTCGAGCAGCTATTTGGCCAAGTCTTACCAAAACGTGAAAGCCACAAAAGAAAAGTGAACGAGAGAAGAGTTTCTTAAGGCTTTGCTCGGAGAGGGCTTCGGAGAAGGGTGGGGTCAGCAGATACAGACCTTACTTTTTTTTTTTTTTTTTTTTTTTTTGAGACGGAGTCTTGCTCTGTCGCCCAGGCTGGAGTGCAGTGGCACAATCTCGGCTCACTGCAAGCTTCACCTCCCGGGTTCATGCCATTCTCCTGCCTCAGCCTCCCAAGTAGCTGGGACTACAGGTACCCACCACCACGCCCAGCTAATTTTTTTTTTTCGTATTTTTAGTAGAGATGGGGTTTCACTGTGTTAGCCACGTTGGTCTCGATCTCCTGACCTTGTGATCCGCCCGCCTCAGCCTCCCAAAGTGCTGGGATTACAGGCGTGAGCCACTGCGCCCGGCCCTAATTTTTGTATTTTTAGTAGAGTTGAGGTTTCACCATGTTGGTCAGGCTGGTCTCAAACCCCTGACCTCAAGTGATCCACCCCGCCCCCGCTTCGGCCTCCCAAAGCACTGGGATTACAGGGATGAGCCACCTCGCTGGGACCAGACCTTACTTTCTTGACTTGGCCACAAGTCTGTCCTGCTCAGAGCTGCTGAAAGTGGCTCTCCTGTTGTATGGGCTTGGGTGTGGTGTGGTGGCCCTTTCCCTGTCCCAGCTGCCTTCTTCCTGGGCACTGAAAACGATGCTACCATTGTTTTTTTTTTTTTTTTTGAGACGGAGTCTCGCTCTGTCGCCCAGGCTGGAGTGCAGTGGCGGGATCTCGGCTCACTGCAAGCTCCGCCTCCCGGGTTCACACCATTCTCCTGCCTCAGCCTCCCAAGTAGCTGGGACTACAGGCGCCCGCCACTACGCCCGGCTAATTTTTTGTATTTTTAGTAGAGACGGGGTTTCACCGTTTTAGCCGGGATGGTCTTGATCTCCTGACCTCGTGATCCGCCCGCCTCGGCCTCCCAAAGTGCTGGGATTACAGGCGTGAGCCACCGCGCCCGGCCAAATGCTACCATTGTTAAGTGCCAGGCGTCCCACCATGCGGGTCTTCACTGCGTATCCACGTAGCTGCACCACGCAGGCATTCTTTCCTCCCTTTTGCAGATGATGGCACCAAAGTTCAAGACTCGCCCAGGGCCACCAAGACAGTCCTCTAGACTTTGGTCTTCCCTCCTTGCCTCCTCGGCCTGGGGTGGTGGCGCCTCGGTCTGAGAAGGGTCGAGGTCTGGGTGCTGCTAGTGGCCCTGGCTCAGTCTCAGAGCTGCCCGGAGGGGGTGAGGATGGCTAACTTAAGGAGCACAGGCAGAGGCTTCCTGCTGGCAGGAAGAGGGCTGAGCTGCGGAAGGCCACCCAGGTGGAGTGTGCTGCACCTCCTTCAGTGGCCTTCAGGAGCTCTGTCCTCACCCAGGGATTGGGGTGAGTCAGGGCATGGGGAAACAGGCTCACAGAGCCCACCTGCTCACCCTGACCACCCCACCCCAGGGGACCCCAGGCTCCTAACTCTCAGAATCCCACAGTCTGTATTGGCGGAAGACGGGCTGGCACCCTTGAGTTAGGCCCCCAGTCGTTGGCACAGATAAGGGGAGCTGCTGCTGAAGGAGCCCGACGGCTGATTCTGTGGAGGCTTCTCAGAGCTCCTGGCAGGAGCCCCTCACCGCAGGAGGCCCACAACCCCTCCCAGCTGCATATCGGCTCACATTCACGCGGCTGCCACACAAGTGCGTCGGAAACTCCACTTGGCTGAACGTGATTGTGCTGCTGTCTGGGACAGTCTTATGCACGTGAGCCCAATACTGGATGTCCCGCCATTTTCAGCCCTGGGGCCTATGGCAAAGTGACGCCCCCCTCGGAGTGCACGGCAGGCAAGGAAGGTTTAAACGGAAGTTCTGACCAGGACGATGCTGGGTGCAAGAGGGGACGGGGATGGAGCAAAACAGAAAGGATCCACCAGGGCCTGCAACCACGTCTTTGGCCCCGGTGAGGGGTGGGACCTTGTGTATAGGTCCAGGCAGCAGCAGCTGCAGACAGAGGCCTAGAGGGTTTGGAGAAGGCCGACCACAAAGACACGCCTAGACCCCAGAGTCTAGTGAGGAGAGGGACTGGGGGCAGTGTTTCGGCAGCAGACCCAGACCCAGACTCAGACCCAAGCCCCCCTCCTCACTGATCAAAACCCCAAGGGCAGGGAGCCCTTCCTGCTCCTTCCCGCCAGAGCCTGGAGGATGAGGGGCAGACGGGAGGCCCGGCCACTGGTGCCTGCTCCTTTGATCAGCTGTAGTCCCTTCCCCTTCACAGGGCACTTGTCTTGCTGGTTGGGGTCACCAGGGATTGCTCCCCCAAGTACCCATCAGCCTCCAGGGCCCAAATGATTCCATGCAGTAGCTCTCTCCCCCTCTTCTGAGAAGGCTCTTGGCTCCCAGAAACGGAAACCATGCCTGGGCCTGCTCCCCTTCCTTGGGCTGTGACCCCCCTGCCACAGAGGCCCCCCCCCCGCCACAGAGGTCCCCCCTGCCACAGAGGTCCCCCTGCCACAGAGGCCTGGTGGCCCCTGAGCTGCTGCTCCGAGTGGAATGTCCTGGTCTAGAGGCCCTTGGCTGCTCCAGTGTCTTAAGACCCATATATGAGTGCTGGCTCTGACCTTGAACAAGCTCCTCCATCGCTCCAGGCCTCGTTTTTCAGGTGTATATGATGATAGTATCTCTAGGCCTCGTTTTTCAGTTGTAAAGCAGGGATGATCATATGTGTTTAACTCCCAGATTGTTATCAAGTCAAGGACAACAATAGGAAAACATGTCACCTGTCAGCTCCACACAAGGCAAAGTAGGATGGGTGACCCCTGACTAGGGGGTGGGAGTGCAGGGGGCACCCGACCCATCTGGCCAGCCACAGCCTCTGTACCCTGCTCGCATTTTCAGGCCTCAATCCCCAAGCACTGTTGGCCCTGGACTGTTTCCCCCCCTCAATTCTGTTTCTCAATGCCTGCTTCTTCCCAGTAAGTGCCACACCCTGAGGGTGGGTGGGAGAGTGAGGCAGCACTGCCCACTTTGGCTGGGACTGGGCACTGCTGGGGACAGCACGGGCCACGTCTTCCCCATCTCAAGACTGGCTTTTTGGCTAGGCATTGTGACTCACGCCTGTAATCTCAGCACTTTGGGAGGCTGAGGTGGGAGAATTGCTTCAGCCCAGGAGTTCCAGACCAGCCTGGGCAAAATAGCAAGAATTCATCTTTATGAAAAAGAAAAAAAAAATTAGCCAGGCATGGTGGCACACACTTATAGTCCCAGATACTTAGGAGGCCGAGGTGGGAGGATCCCTTGAGCCCATGAGTTGGAGGCCGTGGTGAGCTATCAGTTGCACCACTGCACTCCAGCCTGGATGGCAGAGCAAGACCCCAACTCAAAAAAAAAAAAAAAAAAAAAAAGGCGGCCTTTTCCCAGCTGGCAGCACCCTGGCTAGTTAGGGTTTCTCCGAATCTGCAACTCCTGTGTGATGGCGGGTCTCAAATGCTGGCAGCAGAGTCACCGGTCAGCGGCAAGACCTGGAGTCTCCATTTGGAACCAGCACCCGGGAGCCTCTGCTGGGGGTGATCATGGAGCCGCACGTGGAGGCTGGTGGCTCTGATGGTTCGAGCCGTTCCTCGGCAGCACAGCACACCCGCTCCTGAGGAGCCACGGAGCTCATGAGCGTTGGCAAAGTGCTGTCAGTGCTGGCTGTAAGGAAACAGGCTTGACTTTTAACTCAGCCTTTCCCAAACTTGACTATAATACTTTCTTGAAAATCAGAATAACCACTAACATCACAAAACGAGTGTTCTCAGGAGTGGGCATGTTTATCTCGTTCTCTTTTTTTTTTTCTTTTTGAGACGGAGCCTCGCTCTGTTGCCCAGGCTGGAGTGCAATGGTGCGATCTCGACTCACGGCAATCTCCGTCTCCCCGGTTCAAGCGATTCTCCTGCCTCAGGCTCCCGAGTAGTTGGGATTACAGGCGCACGCCACCACGCCCGATTAATGTTTATTTTTAGTACAGACGGGGTTTCTCCATGTTGGTCAGGATGGTCTCGAACTCCTGACCTCAGGTGAGCCTCCTGCCTTGGCCTCCCAAAGTGCTGGGATTATAGGCGTGAGCCACCACGCCCAGTCTTTTTTTAAATATTTGAGTGAAATAAAGCCTAGGAGATATGTGTTCCAGGCGCCCAAGCTGTTAATGTGGAGCTTGAATGTGGCCTGGACCTGCCCTTTCCTCTTCTCCTTTCATCCCCCTCCCTGCCGCCCACATCCTGAACTGCTCTGAGCCTGCAGAAGAACCCAGCGGGAATCTTCAGGGTTGTGGAAGGGTGTAGGGATGGAAAGGGACCAGGATTCGCCTGTTTGGCTGGGAAAATCGGTAGAGGAGGGTGGCTCACACTTCTAAGATGTCTGCACAAGCCCAGTTTGTTTGGGGGTTGGGGAGGAAGGTCTTTTCCTGGCCCACTGTCCCTCCCGAGTCAGCAGTCCCCCAGAGAGACGAAGAGCAGCTGGGCACGGCTGGAGCTGGTCGGTGGCAGAGAATCTTGTCCTGCCTTTTCTTCTCAAGCTCAAAATAGGCACATGCAGCTATTAACTGATATGCCAGAAGGGGCATCCCTTACCCGGAGGAAAATGGATTTATTGCTTTATAAAAAAGAAGTCTAATAAAACTGAAGAGAAAATAACTAAAAATCCAAACACAACTCACCCCTCTAAGCACGCCCAGGAGGTCTCAAGACACACTTCTGGGGGCAGTCAAGGTGGGCGGGTTGGTGGGCCAGGCGGACGGGCCTCCCCCGTCATCAGCTCCAGGGCCCCACGGAGCCCGCCGGCAGGGGGTGCTGTGGGCCTGTGGCCTTGGACAAGCTCCTGGCCCCACGCCAGGATGGCTCCTGGGCACTGGCCCAGCTGCAGGCCTGGCGGCTCCCGCCTGGTCAGTGGGGATAAGGGCTAACTCCTAGAGCCCACCCCGACCCCACACACACCTCGGACCCACCCACGTCCCCACCCCGGCCTGGACCTCCACGTCTGCCGGCCACAGCCTTTCGTCCACCTCCACAAAAGCAGCTGTGTGTATGTACGGGGTGCCCTGGCGGCGGTCCTCAAATTCCCTTCAGGTGGCAGACAGAACGAGGGTGACAGTGAAAACGTGTCCGCGGCATTGGCCCTCGGGGAGGAGGCGAGGGGTCCACCCAGCCCGCTAAACCCTCTCCAGGGCATAAGCCAGGTGGGGCTTCTCCACCGGCCTCCAACGGGTGGGCAGGCCCTGGACAGGCGACAGGGGGCTGGAATTACAAAGGAATTAGCACCGACAACAGGAAGCGGGTCCTTCCTTCCTCAGGCAGCCTCAGGCTGGCCGGGGAGGGGGTGGGGGCCAGGCGCGGGCGAGACAGTGCAAGCCTTTGTCCTCAGGCAGGTACGGCTGTGGGCATGCAGCCGAGGGGCAGGTGGCAGGCAGGGGATGGCAGCCCCCTCTGCTTTGGCAAGAGGCAGAATCCAGACACTGGCGGGAGAGCGCCTGCCTGCCGGGCGTTCCTGGCTCCTGCTGCAGGCACCACAGAGACCCCAGGCCCCGGGTCCCCGGGGGGCGGCAGAGCAAAGTCAGGGCAGCCCCTGCGTTCGGCAGGAGAAAACGCGCGTGTCCGGGGCCCTCTCCCGTCCTTCCACCACAGAGCTCCGAGGCAGGGCCCCGGGAGGGAGCGTGAACGCTGGCACGGAGACGGCGAAGGTCCTGGGGGTGCGTGGGGTACTCTGGAGGGGCAGGACAGGGGTCAGTCACTGAAGCACAGGCAGGAGACCGCAGTTCCGAGGCGGCAGCCACTACACGAAGGCCTCCTGGTTGGACGAGCCGTTGATTTTGAGGAAGAGTTTGTCATCCTCCTGCCTCTGCTGCAGCTGCCGCTCCAGCTGGCGCCGGTAGCAGATCAGGTAGAGCGGGAGGCAGAAGCCCAGCAGGCTGAGAAGGAGCAGCCCCACGTTCACCTGGGGAGGCAGGGAGGCCGCGCATCACAGGGCGTGGTGGTGCGCCGAGGCTGCAGACCCGCCCTCCACTCGGGTTTGGGAAAGGGGAGAAGGTCACGGGGTGGAAGGGGGAACGAAACAGGAAGGCCCACGAGGTCCCATATGCCAGCGTCCCGGTTCCCAACTCTTCACAGGCCATGTGGCCACCCTCAGGGCCTGGGCCCCCAGGAAACACGGGCTGATCTGAACCTCTGGGCTTGGAACAAGTTCCTGGTACCTGGTGAGGAAATCTGGCCCTCGGAGGTGGGGCGGGGACAGGAACTGTGTTCTTTTTTTTTTTTTTTTTTTTTTTTTGAGACGAAGTCTCGCGCTGTCGTCATTCAGGCTGGAGTGCAGTGGCGCAATCTCAGCTCACTGCAATCTCCGCCTCCCGGGTTCAAGTGATTCTCCTGTCTCAGCCTCCCGAGTATCTGGGATTACAGGCACCTGCCACCACACCTGGCTAATTTTTGTATTTTTAGTAGAGACCTGGTTTCACCATGTTGGCCAGGCTGGTCTTGAACTCCTGACCTCAAGTGATGCTCCCGCCTCGGCCTCTCAAAGTGCTGGGATTACAGGTGTGAGCCACCGCGCCCGGCCCAGGAACTCTGTTCTATTTCTCCCCAAATCAGGTCCAGAGAGGACATGTTCCTTTTCCTGCCTAGCCACCATTCACAAAGGGACTCTTAACCAATCCTAACCAACGCTCCCACATGTCCTCGGGGCCCTGAAGCCCCCGAGGGGGACCTTGCAGCTCGCAGTTAGCAGAAGGGGGCAGGCGCCCATGACCCACCATCCCCCGACCCCTCTTACCCACAGAGGGTCTCCCTGGAGAGGACCCATCATGGCCAGAAACAGCGGCTGCTGCAGAAGGGCGAAGAGCGCGCTGATCAGAGACTGCAGTCCCGTGAGGCTGCCGAACTGGGTGGAGGGGTACCTGCAGGGCAAGCGACAGCTCACAGCCATCCTGCCTCCTGGGCTTTGCTTGGCCCCAGGTGTCTGGTGACCCCGGGCTGCACCGTTGGTGCCAGAGAAGGGTGGGGTGCCAGCCCTCGGATTCCTTCCTGCTGGGCAGTTCTGTTTTTTTTTTTTTTTTTTTAAGATGGAGTCTTGCACTGTCGCCTGGGCTGGAGTGCAATGACACGATCTCGGCTCACTGCAACCTCCGCCTCCCCAGTCCAAACAATTCTCCTGCCTCAGCCTCCCTAGTAGCTGGGATTACAGGCGCCCGCCACCACATCTGGCTAATTTTTTGTATTTTTAGTAGAGACGGGGTTTCACTACGTTGGCCAGGCTGGTCTCAAACTCCTGACCTTGTGATCTGCCTGCCTCGGCCTCCCAAAGTTCTGGGATTACAGGCGTGAGCCACCGCGCCCGGCCCTGCTGGGTGGTTCTGCAAAGTGTTTCTCTTTGGACCAGCTCCAGGCCCCAGACTCTGGGGAGGGCCCACCCCACTCAGCTGTGCCCAGGGCCTGTGGGTGTCTGGCTGAGCCGAGTGGAAAGCGTGGTGCCAGCGGGGACCTGCGGTTTGGGAAACAGGCCCAGAGAGGAGTGTGGAGGCTGGGCTTGGCTCTGCAGTGCCCTCGTCCAGAGAAGCATTGAGTAATCGCGGAAACTCAGCACCACAGATCCCGCCCCCCTCCCTCAGACCCTGCCAGGACAGCCACAGCTTCCTCCAGGCCTGGGGAGGGGCAGGCGGAGGGCAAGCGGAGCTGGGATTACCCCAGGGGCTGTTGCGGGAATTGGGAGAGAGTTCCGGGCTAAATCTTAGCACATGTCAGGCTCTGCTGGCCCAGAGGTGGGAAAGGAATCCCAGCAACACATGAGCTGGTCCCACATCAGAGACTGTGGATGATGATGTTTGAGTTTCAGTTTTTGGGTCAAGGCCTGAGCCAGAGAAGAAGGAACCACTGTGGTTCCTTTTATGTTTCTGGGGCTTCTTGGAAAAAGATACAGGTTTCATTTTAGCCAGGGCTGGAGAAAGCTATGGCCAGAGCTGGGCGCACTGAGGCTCTGGATGGGCCCGTCTGGTGTATTCTGGACTCAGTCACCCATGTTGCTGCCCGTGATGAGGGCAACTGGAACTTCCGCATTTAGCTTCAGGCAGCCAGAACCTACCCATCCTTCCCAGTGAGCAGCCAGGGCCAGCCCCAGGACTCGGCTGTAGTGGCCCCTGAGGCCATAATGAGCTGCACAGGTGCCTGACCCTGGCTGGGGGAACTGACTTCGTGTTGAATGCCAAGGCTTGTGAGCACCCAACTGTCTGCCCACTGACCTGCTTCCCACGAGGTATGGCCTTTCCCTGAAACACCCAGCAGAAACCCTGGTACCTGTCCCCTGAAGCAGGAAGATGAGCCCTTCTGGGACAGGCTGACCCTGCCTCAGAGTCTCAGTCCCACCAGCAACCTCCCCCCGGCCATTCCCACACCCTCGCCCACCAGGCCACCTGCGGCTTCCAGGACTTACACGGCAGCGTACAGGCCCCCGACAGCGGAGTGGATGAATCCTCGCACGATTGTGTGCAGGATGAAGGAGAGGATCTGGGGGAGGAAAAGGCGACTGTGGGCATAAGGCCTTAAGGGACCGTCCCCTCAGCCCCCGCCCTCCAATTCCTGGGGGCCCTCACCCCAGGGGCAGTGTCAGCCTGGAGTTGGATCAACCCCATCCTCCGGAGCCAATTGTGAATTTTCAGAAATTTTGCAAGCCAGTCGTTAACACAGTCATTTTTTGTTTGTTTGTTTGTTTTGTTTTTTGTTTTGTTTGAGAAGAAGTCTTGCTTTGTCGCCCAGGCTGGAGTGCAGTGGCGTGATCTTGGCTCACTGCAAGCTTCGCCTCCTGGATTCAAGCAATTCTCCTGCCTCAGCCTTCGGAGTAGCTAGGATTACAGGCCCACGCCACCATGCCCGGCTAATTTTTGTATTTTTTAAGCAGAGATGGGGTTTCACCATGTTGGCCCGGCTGGTCTCAAACTCATGACGTTGTGATCCACCCGCCTCAGCCTCCCAAAATGATGGGATTACAGGCATGAGCCACTGCGCCCAGCCTAACCGAGTCATTATTAAAAATTAAATTATAGGCTGGGCAAGGTGGCTCACGCCCGTAATCCCAGTGCTTTGGGAGGCCGAGGAGGTGGATCACCTGAGGTCAGGAGTTCGAAACCAGCCTGGCCAACATGGCGAAACCCTGTCTTTACTAAAAATACAAAAAATTAGCTGGGCGTGGTGGTGGGCACCTGTAATCTCAGCTGCTTGGGAAGTTGAGGCAGGAGAATCGCTTGAACCAAGAGGTGGAGGTTGCAGTGAGCTGAGATCACGGCATTGCACTCCAGCCTGGTGACAAAGTGAGACTCTGTCTCAAAAAAAAAAAATAATAATAATAATAATAATTAAATTATAAGCCGAGAATGGTGGCTCACACCTGTAGTCCCAGCACTTTGGGAGGCTGAGGTGGGTGGATCATATGAGGTCAGGAGTTTGAGATCAGCCTGGCCAACACAGTGAAACCCCATCTTTACTAAAAATACAAAAATTAGCCGGGTGTGGTGGCGGGCGCCTGTATTCCCAGCTACTCAGGAGGGTGAGGCAGGAGAATCGCTTGAACCGGGGAGGCGGAGGTTGCGGTGAGCCGAGATAGCACCACTGCACTCCAGCCTGGGTGACAGAGCTAGACTCTGTCTCAAAAAAAAAAAAATTACATAAATTTATGACTAAATAAATAAATTATATTAAAGTAAAGGTAATGAATACTCAAAACTCTGAAAACTCATCACTTCCTGGCCTGGTGCAGTGGCTCACACCTGTAATCCCCACACTCTGGGAGGCCTGGGAGGATCACTTGAGCCCAGGAGTTCCAGACCAGCCTGGGCAACATGTCAAGACCCCATCTCTGCAAAAAAATATAAAAATTAACTGGGCTTGGTGGTACGTGCCCGTAGTCCCAGCTACTCAGGAGGCTGAGGTGGGAGGATCACCTGAGCTCGGGAAGTCAAGGCTGCAGTGAGCCAAGATCCCACCACTGCACTCGAGCCTGGCTGATGGGAGTGAGACCCTGTCTCAAAAAAAAACAAAATGAACGAACAAAACCATGGAAAACCTCATCCCTTCCTAATTATTTTACTTGGTTCACTAGAGCCTGTGCACGCATCAGGCTTTCCTTTTTTTTTTTTTGGAGACAGAGTCTTGCTGTGTAGCCCAGGCTGGAATGCAGTGGCACGGCTCACTGCAAGCTCCGCCTCCTGGATTCAAGCAATTCTCCTGCCTCAGCCTCCCTAGTAGCTGGGATTACAGGTGCATGCCACCAAGCCCGGCTAATTTTTGTATTTTTTGTAGAGACGGGGTTTCACTAGGCTGGTCTCGAACTCCTGACCTCAGGTGATCCACCCGCGTTGGCCTCCCAAAGTGCTGGGATTACAGGCGTGAGCCACCGTGCCCGGCCAGGCTTTTCACATCTACTGTAGAAATACCACGTGTCACTGTGACTCTCCAGTTCCACAGTCAGTGGCAACACATGGGCAGCTGGAAATCAGCCACGGTGAGTGCATGTGCACCGTGGAAGTCGGCAAACACTAGAACCAGGGCCCTGCTGACAGACGTGTATGGGCACAGCACTGAGCAAGAGGTTGCTGACCACGGCCTCGAGCTGCCTTTGCCCACCTCGGACTGTGCTCCAGGGTCTCCCAAGCCTGGTCACCCGGCCCTCCCAGCAGGTGGCTGCCCTCTCACCTCCCTCGTGAAGTGTTTCTTCGCTTTTTGTTTTGTTTTCTTTTTGTGGTTTGTTCTGTTTTGTTTGGTTTTGTTTTGGGACGGTCTCGCTCTACACCCCAGGCTGGAGTGCAGTGGTGTGGTCTCGGCTCACTGCAACCTCTGTCTCCTGGGTTCAAGCGATTGTTCTCCCTCAGCCTCCTGAGTAGCTGGGATTACAGGCATGTGCCACCAGGCCCGGCTAATTTTTTTTTTTTTTTTTTTGAGACAAGGTCTCACTCCGGTTGCCCAGGCTGGAGTGCACTGGTGCAATCTCAGTTCACTGCAGCCTCAACTTCCCGGGGTGCAGTGAGCCGAGATTCTCCCACCTCAGCCTCCTGAGTAGCTGGGACTACAGGTGCACTCCACAACACCTGGCTAATTTTTATTTTTAGTAGAGACAGGGTGTCGCCATATTGCCCAGGCTGGTCCTAGTAAAGTTCTGTCGCTGTCTGTGGGAGGCCCCCTGCCCAGGAAGGCTGCTGCTGGCGGACTCCGCCAACTCCGAGAGGCACTTTTTAAGAGCCATCCTCTTGGCCACCAGGTCCCTGTGGTCGCCTTGTCTTCTGTACACAGCCCTGCCATCCCGCTCAGCAGCCAGGACCTGTTCCCAGGAATGTGGGTGGTGGGGGGGCAGGGGCTGCTCTTGGCAGTGTTGAAAGAGGGCTGTGCCCAGTGCCCACACACACACACACACACGCACGCTGTGCAGGCCTCCCCACCTCAAATGCCTTGTTGCCTTTTTACAACTTTTCTTTCAGTGAGACCTACATAAAACAAAAAGATGACTGTCCCCACTGAGCACTGCCCCTCGACTGGACAAGGCGGTTAGGGCAAAGGTCTGCCAGTCTTGCAGAGAAAGCAGCCCAGGAGGCCAGGGAGGGCCGGAGGGATGCAGCACCCCCTGGGGCCGGCACAAATGTTCCACGGCCCGCTGCGCTCTGCACGCCCAGTGTTGGCACGTACACACAACAGTTCCCACGGTGGGGCACACCTGGGTGTTCAACGTACCTCAAGGCCTCCTGTAAAAAGGGAGGGACTCTTACTTCCCTCCTGGACTTGACCCAAGATGCCATCTGGACTCAGGCTACACCTCTCTGGAAGGAAAAGCCACACTTGCGTCCCTCCACCATTTGTAAATTTAGGGATTGGGCCAAAACCTACTGCTAGACCACTTTCACAGACCAGTGGGTGGAGCCAGGCAGGTGACAAGGGCCACCTTACTCAAAATCTCTGTCAAAAATCAGGTTCCAGAAGCCTCAAAAGTTTGGCAAAGAAATTCAGTTTTTTTTTTTTTTTTTGAGACACAGCCTCACTCTGTCGCCCAGGCTGGAGTGCAGTGGCGCAATCTCGGCTCACTGCAACCTCTGCCACCCGGATTCAAGCAATTCTCCTGCCTCAGCCCTCCTGAGTAGCTGGGATTACAGGCATGTGCCACCACGCCCAGCTAATTTTTGTAATTTTAGTAGAGACGGGGTTTCACCATTTTGGATAGGCTAGTCTCAAACTCCTGACCTCGTGATCCACCTGCCTCAGCCTCCCAAAGTGTTTTGGTTTTTTTTGGTTTTTTTTTCTGAGACAGAGTCTCACTCTGTCATCCAGGCTGGAGTGCAGTGGCGCGATCTCAGTTCACTGCAACCTCCGCCTCCCAGGTTCAAATGATTCTCCTGCCTCAGCCTCCCGAGTAGCTGGGATTACAGGAGTGTGCCACCATGCCCAGCTAACTTTTATATTTTCTGTAGAGACAGGGTTTCACCAAGTCGCCCAGGCTGGTCTCAAACTCCTGAGCTCAAGCAATCCACCTGCCTCCACCTACCAAAGTGTTGAGATTACAGGCATGAGCCACCGGCCTGGAATGAAGCTTTTGAATCCAGATATGAAGCCACCATCAAGGTCTTCCTCCACTCTGTTCAGTGTAGAAACCCCGTGAGACTCTGGTGACAGGGGAGCAGATGCTCCCACCAACACCACAGATTGGCCAGATCTCTTTGGACGTCAGATTCCAGCTGCTTGAGCCGATACAAAACAAGGAACTCTACAGCGACCCCACACACTTCCGGGAAATGGCATGATGGTGGTATCCACGGTTATGCAAGACGCCCCCAAAACCAAGACATGCCTTCCGGGGAGGAGTCCCTTTGCAGAAGACAATCCAGGTGTCCAGCTCACCTGCAGCAGCAAGCACAGAGCCTGGCAGGGAACAGGCCCTCCGCAAATAACAAAGGGCTGGTGGGCTGCTCGGTTGAGTGGAATGAATGAAAGTCATCATCTGAGCTGGGCACGGTGCCTCACACCTGTAAAATCCCAGCACTTTGGGAGGCCAAGGCGGGTGGATCGCCTGAGGTCAGGAGTTCGAGACTAGCCTGGCCAACATGGCAAAACCCCATCTCTACTGAAAATACAAAAATTAGCTGGGCGTGATGGTGCGCACCTGTAATCCCAGCTACTCGGGAGGCTGAGGCAGGAGAATCGCTTGAACCCAGGAGGCTGAGGTTGCAGTGAGCCGAGATCACACCACTGCACTCCAGCCTGAGCAACAGAGTTTGACTCTGTCTCAAAAAAATAAAGAAAGTCATCCGCTTTGTTGATGGCTTCCATGAAACATTACACACTTTTGAGTCTTTACATGTTCCTTCTGACTGCCCCACCTCCCACCTGCCCCTCCCACTCCCCACACCCACCTGGAGAGGCAGGTTGGGAATGAGGCAGGTCACCCCAAAGCCCACGAGCAGCAGGTTGGTGAAGGCGAAGGCCCGCATGGCATTAGTGATCTTCTGGATCTGCCGGTCCCGCTTCTTCTTTTTCTTCTCGCCTCTGTGGAGACACAGAACGTGCAGGGGTGGGAGGGCTCCCCGGAGGAAGCCGGGTGCTCCTGAGAAGTCAGGCCTCAAGCGTCGCAGCAGGTAAACTGACGCAAGACTCAGAAGCCACCCAGGCACGTTTTAGGGACTGTGTCGGGGCTGGACCAGCACTACGGACACTCCCCGGCCCTTCTCAGTGGCAAGCTGAGTGTGACTCTCGGAGGGGGTCTCGGGTACAAGAAGATGGCCATCCATATGCTGCAGTGCTCTGTGAAGGCTGAGCTAAGACGACGGGGAGAGAAGTAGCAGCGTGTGCCTGAGCTGGCACATGGCAAAGCCTCACTTCACCACTGGCTTCAAGTTCACCCAAATCTTGCAGGACGCTGATAAGAAGCCAGATACAAGCCAAATAGGGGAGTGAATGGGTTTCCCCTTGTGGGGACAGGAGAGGGTAAAGGGGAAATGAGCAGGCAGCAGATGGAACTGGAGTGGACACAAATAACCTCTTGGCTGCAGGACCTGACCTAGATAGCACAGCACTGTTTTTTGTTTTGTTTTGTTTTGTTTTTTTGTTCTTTGGGTTTTTTTTTGAGATGGAGTCTCGCTCTGTCACCCGGGCTGGAGTGCAGTGGTGTGATCTCGGCTCATTGCCACCTCTGCCTCCTGGGTTCAAGCGATTCTCCTGCCTCAGCCTCCCGAGTAGCTGGGACTACAGGCACGCGCCACCTTACCCGGCTAATTTTTGCGTTTTTGTAGAGACAGGGTTTCACCATGTTAGCCAGGATGGTCTCGATCTTCTGACCTTGTGATCCACCCGCCTTGGCCTCCCAAAGTGCTGGGATTACAGGTGTGAGCCACCGCGCCCGGCCAAGCACCCTCTGCAATTATCTCTCGTGAATGAACGATTACCGATCCCAGTCTCACACCCACGCAGACACCCTGGATGATCCAAGAACGGACCCCAGGTGCTCACAGATGTGCAGGGAGTCCCAGGCCCACCACTTCCTAACTGTGCGGCCCTAGGCAAACTACTGCAAGTCCCAGCCTCAGCTCCCTCATCTGTAAAATGGGTATAACACTGGTCCCCACTTCGCCAGGGTGCTGGGAGTCTTCACTGAGATACTGTGCATGGAGTCCTCGGTGGAGGGCCTCAGGCAATAAACCGTAGCTTATTATATTAAGGTGTGGAGCCATGGAAAACAGCGTTTGGCTGGGCGTGGTGGCTTATGCCTGTAATCCCAGCACTCTGGGAGGCCGAGGCAAGCGGATCACAAGATCAGGAGATCAAGACCATCTTGTCTAACACTGTGAAACCCCTGTCTCTACTAAAAATATATATTAAAAAAATTAGCCGGGCGTGGTGGCGGGCGCCTGTAGTCCCAGATACTTGGAAGCCTGAGGCAGGAGAATGGTGTGAACCCGGGAGGCGGAGGTTGCAGTGAGCCGAGATAGAGCCACTGCACTCCAGCCTGGGCGACAGAGCGAGACTCCGTCTCAAAAAAAAAAAAGAAAAAGAAAAAAGAAAACAGCGTTTAACTCATCCTCTGATCTTGGAGCCCATCCCTTACATAAAGTAGGACTCCAGTACCTTGTTTAATCTTCACAATCATGAACAACTCTATTAACACATAATATGTTTATAGCAACTCACTACTCAAACTGACCGGAATAAACCTTGCAGGCAGATAACAAAGGGTTGGTGGGCTGCATGATTGAATGCAATGAATGAAAGTCACCATCTGAGCCGGGCGCGGTGCCTCATACCTGTTAATCCCAGTACTTTGGGAGGCTTTAAGATGGTGTAGCCACTGCCAAGGGGTGGAGGGAGGGTGGTCTTAGGAGCAAAATGGTCTGCTAGCCATTGTCTGTACACTTTCACCTGTGTCTCTTTTTCTTCCTTCTTACTCAATGCTTCTTCTTTATTGTTTTTTCTTTTTGAGACAGTCTTGCTCTGTTGCCCAGGCTGGAAGTGCAATGGCGTGATCTCGGCTCACTGCAACCTCCACCTCCCGGGTTCAAGCAATTCTCGCGCCTCAGCCTCCTGAGTAGCTGGGATTACAGGCGCGCGCCGCCACCGCACCTGGCTAATTTTTTGTATTTTTAGTAGAGACCGGGTTTTACCACATTGGCCAGGCTGGTCACTAACTCCTGGGCTCAAGCAATTCACTCACCTCAACCTTCCAAAGTGTTGGTATTATAGGCATGAACCACCCTCCCTGGCCAATTTTTAAATTTTTTGTAGAGACGGGGAGTGGGGGCTGGCCATGTTTCCCAGGCTGGTCTCCAACTCCTGGCCTCAAGTGATCTTCCTACCCCAGCCTTTCAAAGTGCTGGGATTACAGGCATGAGTCACCGCACCTGGCCTCAAACTTTAGCATTTCCATTGCATTCCAAACAATTTCCATAAAGAGGGGAGCAGTTGAAACGCATGCTGAGCTGAATGAGTGAGTCTCTCTAAGGGCTCCGGGAGCAGCTGGAGTGCATTGCTCTCTCCCTCTGTCCCACCCACCCTGTGCCTGACATGCAGCTCTGGGGTCTTTCTGCAGGGGCTGCGGGCTGGGAGCCGGGGCACCGGCCCTGCCTACGCACTGGTTGGCGTCTTTCTCCTCGGGCTCCTCGGAGGCGTCTTCACACTCCTTCAGCCTCCAGTCCATGATGTAGCCAATGACGGGGGCCGTCAGCAGGCACAGCAGCTGGAGCACGCCGAAGATGGAGGTGTAGAGGCCAACTGTGGAGGAAGGCGCTGCGTCATGGGGACGCCTGGCAGACAGCCCTGGAGCAGGGACTGGGCACCAGCTGGGAAGGGGCTGGTCCCCACAGGCTCTTCTGGGGTCTGCCCCAGAACCCCCTGTCACTATGGGTCTTGCGAGGAGCCCGGAGACCTTAACTCTGAAGTTGAGGATGGAGCACGGGGCAGGTCACCTTCTTCTCGGTTCCAAATCCCCTGCTTGTTTCTAAGAAACAGCTAATGAAACCCAGAGTGTCACAATGGCCTTCCCAGAGCTCCAGGAAGTCGCTATAACTTGGGAACTCCTGTGACGGAGGCTAAGTGACGGGCCGTTAGTTTCTGTCTCTAGAAATAGCCCAGAACGGCTGGGCGCGGTGGCTCATGCCTGTAATCCCAGCACTTTGGGAGCCCGAGGTGGGCGGATCACGAGGTCAGGAGTTCGAGACCAGACTGACCAACACAGTGAAACCCCGTCTCTACTAAAAATACAAAAACTAGCTGGGCGTGGTGGCAGGCACCTGTAACCCCAGCTACTCAGGAGGCTACAAGGAGAATCACTTGAACCCGGGAGGTGAAGGTTGCAGTGAGCCAAGATCATGCCTCTGCACTCCACCCTGGGCAACAGAGCAAGACTCCATCTCAAAAAAAAAAGAAATATCCCAGAAAGGCACCGCTCACGGGGCTCTGATGTCAGGGCTTCCATATTCAAAGACTTAAAATGACAGTGGATTTTCCAGGGAAGCAGACGAGGAATGTTGATTGCCCCAGTTTTACCCCCACGGCTCTAGCCAGGAGGCATGTCTGGAGCTTGAGGTGAGGAGCTTCTGGGTTGAACAGAGACTGGCTGGGAGGGGACATCACAGCATTCCCTGACAATCCCCCCCACCCCCCGCTTACCCGTGGCCATCACTGCATCAAGAAAGCAAAAGTGAAAAAGCAGAAAGAAGAGAGGTTAGTGGCAGAAATCTCAGTGCTACAGAGAGATGGGAGAGGAGGCAGGCTCACTCCATGCCCAGCACGCACTGCATTTCCCACACTGCGTTTCCCGCACTGCATTTCCCACTAAGCGTGACTCGGGGCGCTCAGGGGAGGCAGAGCTGCAGCCAGGCCTCTGGAAGTGGACTTGGGACAATGCCCAGCCCGGGCCCCTGCTGACATTCTCCTGTCTGCTGGTGCCGGGTCACAGGCGGACTGGTGAATCAGGCCTGTGACGTTGGCGGGTAGCGTGATGGGGAAGTGGCGGGCATGCGGAAGACCTGGTGCAATCAGGGTCCCTGTCACCACACTGCCTGCGGGAAGCGGCTCTGTCACATCTACCTCCTGCTGTGCTCAGAGAGAGGGAAAGGTCAAAGAACCTGCCCCTGATGCCCAGCCAAGGCATCTGACACCATGGGTCTCCTCCAGATGGCCAGAGCTGGTCTCCCTTCCACTCCAAGAAACGGGGACCATGCCTGGGCCTGCTCCCCTTCCTTGGGCCATGGCCCCCCTGCCACAGAGGCCTGGTGGCCCCTGAGCTGCTGCTCCGAGTGGAATGTCCTGGTCTAGAGGCCCTTGGCTGCTCCAGTGTCTTAAGACCCATATGTGAGTGCTGGCTCTGACCTTGAACAAGCTCCTCCATCACTCCAGGCCTCGTTTTTCAGGTGTATATGATGATAGTATCTATCATAAATGATGACGTAAACAGATGATAGTATCTATTTAACTCCTAGATTGTTATCAAGTCAAGGACAACAATAGGAAAACATGTCACCTGTCAACTCTTACAAAGGGAGGGTAGGACAGGTGGCCCCTGACTAGGGGGTGGGGGTGCAGGGGGCACCCGACCCATCTGGCCAGCCACAGCCTCTGTACCCTGCTCCCATTTTCAGGCCTCAATCCCCAAGCACTGTTGGCCCTGGACTGTTTTCCCCCCTTAATTCTGTTTCTCAATGCCTGCTTCTTCCCAGTAAGTGCCACACCCTGAGGGTGGGTGGGAGAGTGAGGCAGCAGTGCCCACTTTGGCTGGGACTGGGCACTGCTGAGGACAGCATGGGCCACGTCTTCCCCATCTCAAGACTGGCTTTTTGGCTGGGCATCGTGGCTCACGCCTGTAATCTCAGCACTTTGGGAGGCTGAGGCACGTGGATCACTTGAAGTCAGGAGTTGGAGACATGGTGAAACTCCGTCTCTACTAAAAATACAAAAATTAGCTGGGCATGGTGGCAGGTGCCTGTAACCCCAGCTACTTGGGAGGCTGAGGCAGAACAATCGCTTGAACCCGAGAGGCGGAGGTTGCAGTGAGCCGAGCTCATGCCACTGTGCTCCAGCCCGGGTGACAAGAGCGAAAATCCATGTCAAAAAAAAAAGACTGTATTTTTGGCTGGGCATTGTGGCTCATGCCTATAATCTCAGCACTTTGGGAGGCTGAGGTGGGAGAACTGCTTGAGCCCAGGAGTTTGAGACCAGCCTGGGAAAAATAGCAAGACCTTGTCTTTATGGAAAAAAAAAAAAAACAAATTAGCCAGGCATGGTGGCACACACCTGTAGTCCCAGATACTTAGGAGGCCGAGGTGGGAGGATCCCTTGAGCTCAGGAGTCGGAGGCCGTGGTGAGCTATCAGTTGCACCACTGCACTCCAGCCTGGGTGGCAGAGCAAGACCCCAACTCAAAAAAAAAAAAAAAAAAAAAAAGGCGGCCTTTTCCCAGCTGCCAGCACCCTGGCTAGTTAGGGTTTCCCTGAATCCGCAACTCCTGTTTGATGGCGGGTCTCAAACGCTGGGAGGCAGCAGAGTCACCGGTCAGCGGCAAGGCCTGGAGTCTCCATTCGGAACCAGCACCCGGGAGCCTCTGCCGCGGGTGGTCGCGGGGCCGTACGCGGAGGCGATGGCTCTGGTGCTTTGAGCCGTTCCTCAGCAGCACGGCACACCCCCTCCTGCGGAGCCGCAAAGCTCACGAGTGTGCGGAAAGTGACCCGGACCCTGCAGCTGCCTCTCGGCCGGAGCTAGGGCTATGGGTGTTGGGTGTAACGGGTCACAGAAGGAGGAGGGGGAAAACCAGTGCCTCGTCTGCCACAGACCAACCTTCCTGGCCTGGCTTCCTCTACTTCTTGAAATTGACTTTTTGAACATACGAAACAGTTGGAAACATTCCTCCTGGGCAGCAAAAGATTTCTCAGACAGCTTGAGTAAAAGACGCTGACTCAGCAGCAGGGAGATGAGCCTTTCGAGGGCCAGGGACCAGCTCTCTCTGCACACTTTGGGGTTTCCGCCACTCCAGGGCTGAATGTTTATCAGGCTGGGTGTGGAGGTTTACGCCTGTAATCCCAGCACTTTGGGAGGCCAAGAGGGGAGGATCCCTTGAGCCCAGGAGTTCGACACCAACCTGGGCAACACAGCAAGACCCTATCTCTGCAAAGAATTTAAAAATTAGCTGGGTGTGGTGGCGCGCACCTGGGGAGCCCTAAGAGGTCAAGGCTGCAGCGTTCACATCACTGCACTCCAGCCTAAGCAACGCAGAAAGAGACCCTGCCTCAAAAAAACAAGAAAGAAAGAGACATGATAGATTAGGGTTCCCCAAAGTGTGTTCCACAGATATTTTTTTTTCTTTTGAGATGGAGTCGCACTCTGTCGCCCAGGCTGGAGTGCAGTGGCGCAATCTCGGCTCACTGCAACCTCCACCTCCTGGGTTCAAGCAATTCTCTGCTTCAGCCTTCCAAGTAGCAGGGATTACAGGGGCCCACCACCACGCCTGGCTAATTTTTTGTATTTTTAGTAGAGATGGGGGTTTCACAATCTTGGCCAGGCTGGTCTTGAACTCCTGACCTCATGATCCACCTGCCTCAGCCTCCAAAAGGGCTAGGATTACAGGCGTGAGCCACCGTGCCTGGCCTAGACTACCATTTTCACAGTAGAACTGGCTGTTATCTGGTTCCCTTTGCTATCTTTTCCTTTTGATAAAGCTGGATTTCTCATCCCCTAAAAACCTGATAACTGATTCTTCACAAGTCCTAGGGTATCTTCACCTTGATAAAAACAAGGAAACCATCGGAAAAAGTGGCACACCAGGGAGGCTGCCAATAAAAAGGATTTGGAGTGTTTGTCCCGCCTGGGGATGACTAAGGCTGACTCAGCTCAGGCCCCGGGGAAGTCCTGACTTTCTCTGTAGAATCAAAACCTCTAATCAGCTGAAGACCTGCCCTGTTTGGAAAAGTGGACTGTGGGTTATCAGCTGTGTTTGTTGGAGCTGACAAGCCTCAACTGTTCGCAAGCTCCGAGGAAGTCTCTGCCCTGCCCTGTTTCTCGGTGAGGGATGCAGATCCCAGTGTGGGCCAGTTGCCCCAGCGTCTCCAGCCCCGTCCTGACCTCGATGCCCAGGGTGTCCACGCACCCACCGTGCCACTTTCTGGGAGGACTTTGGGCTTGACCTGCTGTCTTTCAGCCATGCTCAGGTGGAGCGTTCTGTTCTGTTTTCATTTACAGACACACACGGCAACCCTCCCCCTCAGGCACTGGAAAACACACACCCCACACCCCACACCCAGGAGGCTATTTTGGTCCTTCCCTCCCTCCTGGACCAGGAAACCCTGATGGGGACACGAAGAAACAGTTGGGGCTGGCAGTGATGCAATAGCTCTGACGGGCAGACAGCTCCTGGGATGCGGCCTTTCCATGGCCCGGCTGGCCCGGCTCAGCTTAACACATTCTGGCCGGTGGCCAGTGGGCTGGGCTCAGGCCGGGGAGTGACAGCGACCGAGGCTGCCCGGGGCACCTACCTGTCTTCTGGTCGCCGCTGACCAGGAACTTGAGGATGTTGTTCATAGCCCCCATGTAGAAGATGAGCCGCAGCTGCGTGACGCACATGGTGACCAGGCTGAGCAGCAGGATGGGGCTGAACACGCTGTGCATGAAGGAGGGGGCCACTGCAGGGAGAGGGTGCGGGGCTCAGGGCCGGGGCACACTGTCCCCACCACCGGGGGGACACGCAGATCCCTCCACGCTGGAGGCCAGGAGGGGGCCCTCGGGACGGGCCTGGTGAGGGTAACGGGGTTGGCGCTGCGGTGGGGTCACCTCTTGGGTGAAATCAGGCAAATCCCTTTCCCTCCCCCAGGCCTTCCTGAGCGCCTCTGCAGAACAGGGCGGGCGGGGCCGCCTCCCCTTTTGGGGTGAGGTGGGAATGGGGTGAGCCGATACCCACAGAGCACTCCCTGCCCGTCGCCCGGCTGCGGTCTCAGGCGGGTACCTGCGGCATCCGGCTGGCACTTCACCTCCAGGTCGACGGTGGACAGGCACAGCTTGTGGCCCTCCTGCAGCGCCACCTGCTCCTTGGCACTCCTCATGGAGCTGCCCACACTCAGGCGCCGGCCCACCGTGGTCACCTGCTTGTAGAACTGCTTCCCTGTGATCTTGTGGTCAAAGCCCAGCCAGCTGAACTTGATCTTCACCCTGGGGCCCCGGGAGAGTGTCTGTGGGTGCTGCCCGGGACCCCGGCTGGGGGGCGGGGGCTGGGGGCAGGCGGGACGGGGGCACCTCTACTTACGAGTAGTCCATGTCCTCCGGCCCCGGGAAGGGCTCAAGGGGCCAGTTAAAGAAGCAGTTGAGGAAAACCAGCCCGGAGCAGCCGGCCCAGACCACGAGGACGACGATGAAGGAGACACCAGCATCATAGATGAGCTGACAGGCACCGCGGGGACGGGGTGGGGGGGGGAGGGGGCAGAGTTAGCCCGGGGAGGCCAGAGCCGCAGCAGGCAGGGGCGTCTGGCCACCCCTGCTGTCCCTGTGCTGAGCCGCGCAAAGAGGCACAGCCCTGCCAGCCTGGGCGTTGGGGCATCAGGCACCCGCCTTCCAGTCCTCCCACCGTGCCTGCCCTGCTGGTCATCTGGGCCTGGCGTGTGATTAGCCCCCCGACTCGGAGGCCTTCCTGACCGCCCCGCCATGACCACGGCACGTCTTGCAGGCTCATAGTGATCGGCCCAGCAGAGGGGACGGTGCTCCTGGTCCGTCGGCTTGTCTGGTATTAGCGGAGCTCCCTGAAGGCGGGAACCGGCCAGCCCCGTCCACTGATGCTTCCCCAGTGCCTCTGAGAGCTCACATGGCAGAGGCCAAAGAAATGCTCAAGGAAGCCAGGCATGGTGGCTCACGCCTGTAATCCCAGCACTTTGGGAGGCCAAAGTGGGCGGATCATGAGGTCAGGAGTTCCAGGCCAGCCTGACCAACATGGTGAAACCCCATCTCTACTAAAAATACAAAAATTAGCCGGGCATGGTGGCGGGCACCTGTAATCCTAGCTCCTTGGGAGGCTGAGGCAGGAGAATCACTTGAACCTGGGAGGTGGAGGTTGCAGTGAGCCGAGATCGTGCTGCTGCACTCCAACCTGGGCGACAGAGCAAGACCCTGTTCCCCCCCAAAAAAAGGAGGAGGAAGAACTTTCGGGATGCTCCCCAGTCCAGGGGCATGAGAATCTCTGCAAGTCCATAGGATGGCTGGCCCCAGAGTCCCAGCTCCCACCACTTCAATGCCCAGGTGGCCAGCCCACACCGTGTCCCCCTCTCCTCGCCAACAGCATTCCCACACACACCACCGAGGAAAGGGGCTTTTACTTAGTGTGAGGGTCAGAGGTGGGAGAAGCCCCTACGGGGCCCTGGCAGACCCACAGGGTCTGGGGAACTTGGGCTGATGGACTGTGAGGTGTTTGCTTCGTCCTGACCCTGTGTGACTTCCACAGGCTCAAAATCCTGCCTAGGAGGGAAACAGCTGAAACACTTGGCCAAGAGCAGTGCTTTGGCTGGCGGGGAGTAACGGTACAATAACAGCAGGCTGGGGGTTGGGGAGCAGGGGAGCAGCGGGAGACCAGGATGACGGAGGAGACGGGGGCAAGACTCACAACTGGAAACAGACTCACCCACCGCCCTTCCCCTGCCCCAGCCCCGAAATGCAAAGGCACCTGCGGCAGATCCTGCAGCCACATGCGTGATTCCCGTCCCCTGAGGCCCCGCGGTTTTCATTTGTCGCCCCTGTGATGCCCAGGTGCATCCTGCCCGGGTGGGGGTGGTGGAGAGGGGCCACCCCGGGTGCCCACAATTGCCTCCCTCTTCAGAGAGGGTGGAAGGAGCCTGGAGCAGGCCTCTGCACAGACACCAGTGCAAAATACACGTGCTCACCTTGATTCCTGGAAAGGTGACTGCCGAGGAGGCGTAGGACCCAATCATCAAGGCAATAAACGTGGACCGAAGGTCGCCGAACATGTTGGGCAGCTGAGAGATAAGAAGCAGAGAAACCTCAGTGGGGAGGATGCACCAGGGAAGGGGAGGAGGAGGGGACAGAGAACTAGGCCCCATGAGGCCCCTTCTTCACCTGCGCCCCTTCCTGTGTGACTCACAGGGGCATTAGTTCAGGGGCAATGACCGCTCACTGAAGGTTTCTCCTTCATGGACTGAGGCTGATGGGGCCAAGGAGGGAGGTAATGCAGAATACAAGCAGTTGTCTGACTTTCCGGCTGGCAACCCTCCCTATCTCTCTGCTCCTGGCAGAGCCCAGGAGCCTTCTTGTCTTTTCAGGGTAACACTGAGATGCCAGAGAACAAAGTTATGAGCCTCAGGCAGCCCTCAAAGGGAGAAAGCCTGTTAAAAATAAGAATCTATTTGGGGATAATAGCATCATTTTATAAATAAAAATATCAGCATTCCAGAAAGACCAGATGTCAGCAAAAACTGCTTTTGGTTTGGAGAGGGTAGGTTTTTGGAAGATGTCAATCAGAATTCTACAGTTCTCTTCGGTCTGAGGATGAAGCTGGCCCAGGATTCCTGCTTCTGAATTTCTTTTCTTTGTTTTGAGATGGGGTTTTGCTCTTGTTCCCCAGGCTGGAGCGCAGTGGTGTGAGCTCGGCTCGTTGCAACCTCCGCCTCCCTGGTTCAAGTGATTCTCCTGCCTCAGCCTCCCAAGTCGCGAGATTAGAGATGCCCGCCACCATGCCTGGCTAATTTTTGTATTTTTAGTAGAGACGGGGTTTCACCATGTTGGCCAGGCTGATCTCAAGTGATCCGCCCGCCTCGGCCTCCCAAAGTGCTGGGACTACAGGCGTGAGCCACCGCGCCCGGCCTCCTGCTTCTGAATTTCTCAGTACAAGCAGGGGATTATCTTCCCACAGGATGTTCGGCCCGAGCAGTTAGCATCCTGGAAGGCCAACGGGAAGCAAGGTCCGGGCTCTCTTCCCAACGAAGCCACTCTCGGCATCTCACATCAGCTCATTCTGGGTACAGGGCAAGAGGGGGCCCACCTGAACAGGACTTCAAGGCTAACTCTTGCTCATTCTACCGAAATCCAGGCCTAGGGCAAACTACATCCTCCCAAAGAGGCACAGGTTCTCTAACCTCAAGAGACATCACACTGTGTGTAGCAAACCTTTCCTGTCCACACCCAGCGTCCCTGGCCTTGGGGGCTGCCCTCTGGATAGCCATGCCAACCTATTTCATTAAATTCAGGCTGCTTATGGGGACTTAATCTATGTCCCCTCCACCCTCCCCACCACTCCCCATTTGTCTTGAATCTTTTTCTTTCTTTCTTTCTTTTTTTTTTTTTTTGAGACGGAGTCTCGCTCTTTCGCCCAGGCTGTACTGCAGTGGCTCTATCTCGGCTCACTGCAAGCTCCGCCTCCCAGGTTCACGCCATTCTCCTGCCTCAGCCTCCCGTGTAGCTGGGACTATAGGCGCCCGCCACCACACCCGGCTAATTTTTTTGTATTTTCAGTAGAGACGGGGTTTCACCACGTTAGCCAGGATGGTCTGGATCTCCTGACCTCGTGATCCGCCCGCCTTGGCCTCCCAAAGTGCTGGGATTACAGGCGTGAGCCACCGCGCCCAACCTTTTTTTCTTGTTTTAAGAGACAGGATCTGCTGGACGCAGTGGCTCACGCCTGCAATCCCAGAGTGCTGCCTTTGACCTCAGAGTTTAAGACCAGCCTGGACAACATGGCGAAACCCTGCCTCTGTATCTTTTTAAAGTTAAAAAAAAGAGAGAGAGACAAGGGGGGCAGATCACCTGAGGTCAGGAATTCGAGATCAGCCTGGCAAACATGGCGAAACCCTGTCTCTACTAAAAATACAAAAATTAGCCGGATGTGGTGGCAGGCGCCTATAATCCCAGCTACTTGGGAGGCTGAGGCAGGAAAATGGCTTGAACCCGGGAGGCGGAGCTTGCAGTGAGCCGACACTGCGCCACTGCACTCCAGCCTGGGTGACAGAGCGAGACTCTGTGTCAAAAAAAAAAAAAGAGAGAGAGAGACAGGGTCTCATTCTGTTGCCCAGGTGGGAGTGCAGTAATGCAATCATAGCTCACTGCAGCCTCCAACTTGGCTCAAGTGATCTTCCCCCCCCAGCTCCCAAGTCACTGGGACAACAGGCCCACGCCACCATGCCCCAGCTAGTGGTTTTTTTTTTGGAGGCAGGGTATCGCTCTGTCACCCAGGCTGGAATGCACTGACATGCAATCTTGGCTCTCTGCAACCTCCACCTCCCAAGTTCAAGCGAGTCTCCTGCCTCAGCGTCCTGTGTGGCTGGGACCACAGGTGTGCACCACCATGCCCGGCTAATTTTTGTATTGTTAGTAGAGATAGGGTTTCACCATGCTGCCAGGCTGGTCTTGAACTCCTGACCTCAAGCGATCCATCTATCTTGGCCTCCCAAAGTGCTGGGATTACAGGCATCAGCCATCACGCCCGGCCTTTAATTATTTTTGTAGAGATGGGGTCTCACTATATTGCCCAGGCTAGACTTGAACTCCTGGCCTCAAGCTCTTCTCCCACCTTGGCCTCCCAAAATAAATAATTTTTGTTTTATCAAACCTGCCTGCCTGCAAGCAAATTAACTGTTACTGAGCGGAGGGAGTTTGAACTTGGCGACATACCTGTCTGCAGTCACTGCTGCCTGTTTTGCCCACTTTTAAAAATGAGTAAGGGATGTCAGCAAAATTTAAAACCTCTGTGCTTCAAAGGATGGCATCAAGAAAGTGAAAAGAGAGCCGGGCGCGGTGGCTCACACCTGTCATCCCCGCACTTTGGGAGGCCGAGGCAGGCAGATCACGAGGTCAGCAGTTCAACACCAGCCTGGCCAACATGGGGAAACCCTATCTCTACTAAAAATACAAAAAATTAGCCGGGCGTGGTGGTGGACGCCTGTAATCCCAGCTACTCGGGAGGCTGAGACAGGAGAATCCCTTGAACCGGGAGATGGAGGTTGCAGTGAGCTGACATTGATCCACTGCACTCTAGCCTGGGCAAGAGTGCGAGACTCCATCTCAAAAAAAAAAGAAAGTGAAAACAGGCTGGGAGTGGTGGCTCGTGCCTGTCATCCCAGCACTTTGGAAGGCTGGGGCAGCGGGATTACTTGAGGGCAGGAGTTCAAGAAAGTGAAAAGAATGCACAGAATGGGAGAAACTTCTTACAAATCACAGATCAAGAGCTTGCATCTAGAATATATAAACATAGTGCCCAACAGTTATTCAAAAAACAAAAAATAGAACATATAAAGAACCCCTACATCTCAATAATAAAAAGATAAATAACCAATTTTTTTTTTTAGATGGAGTCTCGCTCTGTCTCCCAGGCTGGAGTGCAGTGGTGCGATCTCGGCCCACTCCAACCTCTGTCTCCTGGGTTCATGCCATTCTCCCACCTCAGCCTCCCGAGCGGCACCTCCCATTGCAGGTATGTGCCACCACGCCCAGCTATTTTTTGAAATAACCAATTTTTTAAATGGGCAAAGGATCTGAATAGACATTTCTCCAAAGAAGATATACAAATGGCCAATAAGCATATGGAAAGATGCTCAACATCATTAATCATAGTGAAATTCAAATCAAAGCCACAATGAGATACCACTTGATACCCATTAGGACACCAAAAAGTCACAGTGAGGCCAGGCGCGGTGGCTCACGCCTGTCATCCCAGCACTTTGGGAGGCCGAAGCGGGCGGATCACGAGGTCAGGAGTTCCAGACCAGCCTAGGGAACATAGTGAGACCCCGTCTCTACCAAAAATACAAAAACTTAGCGAGGTATGGTGGAACATGCCTGTAATCCCAGCTACTCGGGAGGCTGAGGCAGGAGAATCACTTGAACCCAGGCGGGGGTTGCAGTGAGCCGAGATCGTGCCACTGCACTCCAGCCTGCGCAACAGAGCAAGACTACGTTTTAAAAAAAAGAGGCTGGGCACGGTGGCTCACGCCTGTAATCCCAGCACTTTGGGAGGCCGAGGTGGGCAGATCACAAGATCAGGAGTTCAAGACCAGCCTGGCGAACATGGTGAAACCCCGTCCCTGCTAAAAAAATGCAAAAATTAGCCAGGCATGGTGACGTGCACCTGTAATCCCAGCTACTTGGGAGGCTGAGGCAGGAGAATTGCTTGAACCCGGGTGGTGGAGGTTGCAGTGAGCCAAGATTGTGCCACTGCACTCCAGCCTGGGCGACAGAGCAAGACTCAAAAAAAAAAAAGAAATGAGGCCGGGCGAGGTGGCTCACGCCTGTAATCCCAGCACTTTGGGAGGCCAAGGTGGGCGGATCACCTGAGGTCAGGAGTTCGAGACCAGCCTGGCCAAAATGGTGAAACCCCATCTCTACAAAAATGCAAAAATTAGCTGGGCATAATGGCGGGCACCTGTAATCCCAGCTACTCAGGAGGCTGAGACAGGAGAATCACTTGAACTTGGGAGGCAGAGCTTGCAGTGAGTCAAGATATCGCCACTGCCCTCCACCCTGGGCGACAGAGTGAGACTCCGTCTCAAAAAGAAAAAAAAAAGAAAAAAGAAAAAGAAAAGAAAAGAAATCCCTTCCAACAGAAGACAAAAGAAATGTGATGTGCTCACACGTGCCCAGGCACGCCCAGGTGAGCAATCTTACTCTCTGGGTACCTGCCTCCCAGGTAGGTTGCAGTTCAAAGGACAAGCCTCGGTTCCCAAGCTCACATATTTGGGCTGCTCCATTACTGCACTGTAGCAAAGGCATCTCCGTGGCCATATCTACCCCAGTGAGAATGCAAATATTTGTTCTGCTTATGCGGAAGGAGGGAAGTGTTCCTGCCCGGCATGCCAGCACAGCCGGCGCAAAGAAAGAAAGAAAGAAAGGGGCCAGGCGCGGTGGCTCACGCCTGTAATCCCAACGCTTTGGGAGGCCGAGGCAGGTGGACCATGAGGTCAGGAGCTTGAGACCAGCTTGGCCAACACAGTGAAACCTTGTCTCTACTAGAAATACAAAAATTAGCTGGGCGTGGTGGTGGGTGCCTGTAGTCCCAGCTACTGGGGAAGAGGCTGAGGCAGAATTGCTTGAATCCAGGAGGCAGAGGTTGCAGTGAGCCGAGATCATGCCACTGCACTCCAGCCTGGGTGACAGAACGAGACTCTGTCTCAAAAAAAAAAAAAAGGGAGGCCCAGAGAAGGCTTGGAACCCAACCAGAAGGGCAAATGGAAGCCCAGAGCCTGGCTCCCTTGGTGCAGGGTCAGGTGAGGCTAACATGTAGGTTGCTGCAGTCACCTTTGGGTAAAAAGAGTGTCTCAAACTTTTCAACAGAGCTAGAGAATGTTCCGGAAAAGCAGAGAGCTTGCTAGCTAGGCATTTTCCTTCTACCTTTTTAATCTCAAGCCTGCCTGCCTTAACCCTAACCTAGGCTACAGACCAACAGAGCCACAGGGCCCTGGGGTGACCATGTGGCCCTGCCTGGTCTTCTGGAGTCTTCTCCCCAGCACTAGATCCAGGATGGGGAAGAGCAGAACCTGGGGAAGAGGCCGACTCTCCATCTGTCCATGGATGAGGCCTTGCCCTCAGGCCTGGACAGGGCAGGGGCCTCCCAGCTGCTCCCTTTGATGCCCTGCCTCTTGCCGCCTGGAACATTCTTACCAGCACCAAGAAAATTCTTCCCAACATGTTATTCTGGTCAGCAGGGCCATTCCTTAGGGAGTAGAGTGCCTCAGGGGAACCACACTAGGTAGCCTTCAAACCAACACTGACATCTTGTATTTTTAATTATGATCTTTTCCTTAGAACGGCAATGCCTGGGCTGGGCGCGGTGGCTCACGCCTGTAATCGCAACACTTTGGGAGGCTGAGGTGGGCGGATCACGAGATCGAGACCATCCTGGCCAACATGGTGAAACCCCATCTCTATTAAAAATACCAAAAATTAGCCGGGTGTGGCGGCGTGCACCTGTAGTCCCAGGTACTTGGGAGGCTGAAGCAGGAGGATTGCTTGAACCCAGGGGGCAGAGGTTGCAATGAGCCAAGATCATGCCACTGCACTCCAGCCTGGCGACAGAGTGAGACTCTGTCTCAAAAAAAGAAAAGAAAAGCATATCCATTGCAAAATGTTTGGAGCAAAGTATAAAAAGAATAAGGTAAAAATCACCCTGAGGCCAGACGCAGTGGCTCACATCTATAATCCCAGCACTTTAGGAGGCTGAGGCAGGTGGATCACTTGAGGCCAGCAGTTCAAGACCAGCCTGGCCAACATGGTGAAACCCTGTCTCTACCAAAAATAAAGAAAATTAGCTGGGCGTGGTGGCAGGCACCTGTAGTCCCAGCTACTTGGGAGGCTGAAGCAGCAGAATCGCTTGAACTTGGGAGATAGAGGTTGCAGTGAGCAGAGACTGAGCCACTGCACTCCAGCCTGGGCAACACAGTTAGACTCCGTCTCAAAAAAACAAAAAACTTTTACTAATGACTTTCAACATTTTTCTACAACTTAAAAAATTATTTGGCCAGGCGCGGTGGCTCACGCCTGTAATCCCAGCACTTTGGGAAGCTGAGGCGGGTGGATCATGAGGTCAGGAGATCGAGACCATCCTCGCTAACACAGTGAAACCCCGTCTCTACTAAAAATACAAAAAATTAGCTGGGCGTGGTGGCGGGCGCCTGTAGTCCCAGCTACTCGGGAGGCTGAGACGGGAGAATGGCGTGAACCTGGGAGGCAGAGCTTGCAGTGAGCTGAGATTGCGCCACTGCACTCCAGCCTGGGTGACAGAGCAAGACTCCGTCTCAAAAAAAAAAAAATCATTTATATTTGTCCTTTTTTTCTATGGGGATGTTAATCTTTCTTTTTTTTTTTTACAGTAAGCTATATATTAATTGAATATATATATATATATATTTTTTTTTTTTTTTTGAGACGGAGTCTGGCTCTGTCACCCAGGCTGGAGTGCAGTAGTGCTATCTCGGCTCACTGCAACCTCCACCTCCCGGGTCCAAGCAATTCTCCTGCCTCAGCCTCCCGAGTAGCCAGGGTTACAGGTGCCTGCCACGACGCCTGGCTAATTTTTGTATTTTTAGTAGAGACGGGGTTTAGCCATGTTGGCCAGGCTGGTCTCAAACTCTTGACCTCAAGTGATCCGCCCGCCTCAGCCTCCCAAAATGCTGGGATTACAGGTATGAGCCACCGCGCCCTTCCAATATTTCATTTAACATAATTTCAAAGTAGGTCTGTGCTCTAAGGTGAGCAAAAGAAGAGACATTCTAAATCTCATAAGAGATTTTTTTTTCTTTCCTCTTTTTTTTTTTTTTTTTTTTTGGAGACATGGTCTCGCTCTGTCATCCAGGCTGGAGTGCAATGGTACGATTCTGGCTCACTGCAACCTCTGCCTCCCAGGTTCAAATGATTCTCCTGCCTCAGCCTCCCGAGCAGCTGGGATGGATTATAGCCACCTGCTATGACATCCAGGTAATTTTTGTATTTTTAGTAGAGACAGGGTTTCACCATGTTGGTCAGGCTGGTCTCAAACTCCTGACCTCAAGCGATCTGCCCACCTCAGCCTCTCAAAGTGTTGGGATGACAGGCGTGAACCATTGCGCCCAGACTTTTTTTTTTTTTTCCACACTGTTCCTCTGAGTGAGGAATCAGGTTTCAGGACCCTCAATGTTGACAACTAACATTTTACCCTTGAGATTTTACCTAGAGATACCGAAAGAAAAGATAACATCTGAATACAAGAATCGCGTTGCATATTTGCTGCCTCCATAGGGTTGTTGTGGTAGCGACTGATTTTCCACCCCTCCCAGTTTGGTGGTGTTTGTTTGTTTGTTTGTTTGTTTGTTTTAAGTAAAATGTCAGAAATGCAAAAATGCTGCATTTATTTCCCTTAAGACATTGAAAATAGTGGAAGTTTGCAGATTTTTAATTCTTCGTAGGTCTGAGCTGGCACTAGACTGCTACCAAAGGGGTCTGTTCCACACGCTAATTTCAGGCTTGCGGACCATCAGCAAACTGCAATGAAACCTGTGGGCATGAATCTTCCAGAGTGGTAGAATCTCATTCCCATATGCCCGCCAAGTTTCCAGGTGTAGCTGGGAAAACCCAAATGTTCCCTGGATCCCGAGATGGCTAATAAGCACTCAGGCCTGCTACACCACCGAACAGAGCCCCACAGCCAGAGAGGCACACGGCCTGCTTCACACAGCCGACAACCCCGCTGGAAACAACCAGTGCTGGGAGCCAAGGCCAAACTGATGCAAAGGCGCTACTGAGCCAGAGCCCTTCTGCACCGAGACTACCCCAGGCATGCACCGCCCTCCCAAAGGTCCAAAACGATGCAAAGGCGCTACTGAGCCAGAGTCGTGCACTGAGACTACCCCAGGCATGCACCGCCCTCCCGAAGGTCCAAACCAATGCAAAGGCGCTACTGAGCCAGAGTCCTGCATTGAGACTACCCCAGACATGTACTGCCCTCCCGAAGGTCCAAACCAATGCAAAGGTGCTATTGAGCCAGAGTCCTGCACTGAGACTACCCCAGGCGTGTACCACCCTCCGGAAGGTCCAAACCGATGCAAAGCCACTATTGAGCCAGAGTCCTTCTGCACCGCCCTCCCGAAGGTCCAAACTGATGCAAAGGTGCTACTGAGCCAGAGTCCTTCTGCACCGAGACTACCCCAGGCATGCACTGCCTTCCCGAAGGTCCCAACCAATGCAAAGGCACTATTGAGCCAGAGTCCTGCACTGAGACTACCCCAGACGTGTACCGCCCTCCCGAAGGTCCAAACCAATGCAAAGGCGCTATTGAGCCAGAGTCCTGCACTGTGACTACCCCAGGTGTGCGCCGCCCTCCTGAAGGTGCGTGTGGGTCGACAAGGGTGCACAAGCGGCAGGGGGCTGCATAGCAAGGTCTCCTTCAGCTTTGTTTTAATTATTTTTATAGAGACAGGGTCTCACTCTATTGCCCAGGCTGGTCTTGAACTCCTGGATTCCAGCGATCCTTCCACCTTGGCTTCCCAAACTGCAATGATTACAGGCATGAGCCACTGCACCCGGCCAATCTTTGTATATTGATTTTGTGAAGGCTCTTTATGTATTAAAGACATTCATTCACAGGCCGGGCACGGTGGCTCACACCTGTAATCCCAGCACTTTCAGAGGCCGAGGCAAGCGGATCACCTGAGGTCAGGGGTTTGAGACCAGCCTGGCCAACATAGTGAAACCTCGTCTTTACTAAAAATACAAAAATTAGCCGGACATGGTGGCAGGCACCTGTAATCCTAGCTACTTGGGAAGCTGAGGCAGAAAAATCGCTTGAACCCCAGAGGCAGAGGTTGCAATGAGCCGAGATTGTGCCACTGCACTCCAGCCTGGGCGACAGAGCGAGACTCTTGTCTCAAAAATTAATAAAAATAAAATAAAATGAAGACATTCACAGTTCTATATACTATGAATAAATTTTCCTAGTTTGTCATTTAACTTCTTAATTCATGGTGTTTTGTTTTTTCAGTTTTTTTTTTTTTTTTTGAGATGGAGTTTCGCTCTTATTGCCCAGGCTGGAGTGCAATGGTGCAATCTCGGCTCACCGCAACCTCCACCTCCCGGGTTCATGCGATTCTCCTGCCTCAGCCTCCCAAGTAGCTGGGATTACAGGCACCCGCCACCACACCCGGCTAATTTTTGTATTTTTAGTAGAGACAGGGTTTCACCATGTTGGCCAGGCTGGTCTCGAACTCCTGACCTCAGGTGATCCACCCGCCTCAGCCTCCCAAAGTGCTGGGATTACAGGCGTGAGCCACTGCGCCCGGCCGAGGGTTTTAAAGATCATAAATAGGGTAGGTATTAACAATAGTTACTATTATGATATGTGTTATGACTTCATAACAGGGAAAATCTTCTGGTCAAGCTGCTCCTGGGCATAGCCAACGAGGGAAGTGTCCTCTGGCAGGAACCACAGCTCTGGGAGGAAGAAAAGGAAGCCGACTACAGGATAAAACACAAATTAGTATTCCCCTTTAAATAAATAATTAGTGTCCACAGAGATGGCCTTTCTTCTCCTGTCCTTGTTATTCTGTTGTGACCACACATTGACTGCTGTCAGGATGTTTATGCTTTGGGTTTCACTGGTCAAGGTCATCCTTCATGTTCTCTTCAGAGAGGTTTCATTTGACACAAATGCTAGGTACTCCCTAAAAGCTGAAACACACTTTTGACCACCTATTTAAAAACTTTTATTGGTCAAAAAACACCATGAGGCCGGGCGCGGTGGCTCACACCTGTAATCCCAGCACTTTGGGAGGCCGAGGCAGGGGATCACCTGAGGTCAGGAGTTCGAGACCAGCCTGGCCAATACGGTGAAACCCCATCTCTACTAAAAATACAAAAAATTAGCCAGGCGTGGTGGCGTGCACCTGTAATCCCAGCTACTCGGCAGGCTGAGGCAGGAGAATCGCTTGAACCCAGGAGGCAGAGGTGGCAGTGAGTTGAGATCGCGCCATTGCACTCCAGTCTGGGCAACAAGAGTGAAACTCTGCCTCAAAAAACAAAACAAAACAAAACAAAACAAAAACTTAAAGATTAGAAAAGTCAAGGGACTCCCCCAAGCTAGTAATGGTCAGATTGGGGATTCAAGCCAGGCCAAGCCTCTGTGTGTAGGCCCCAGGCCACGCTGCCTCTCTGGAGTCTCCTGTGGCTCCGGCCAATACACACTTCAGTTTGGATCCCACGGCTTTTACATGTGCCTTATTAAGATCCAATCTGCGCCCTTCAACTAGAGGTTTATTTTTCATTCATTTACTTATTTATTTTTTGAGACAGAGCCTCACTCTGTCGCCAAGGCTACAGTGCAGCAGCACAATCTCAGCTCACTTCAAGCTCCACCTCCCTGGTTCAAGCGATTCTCCTGCCTCAGCCTCCCGAGTAGCTGGGATTACAGGCATGTGCCACTACGCCACGATGCCCAGCTAATTTTTTTTTTGTATTTTGAGTAGAGATGGAGTTTCGCCATGTTGGCCAGGCTGGTCTCGAACTCCTGACTTCAGGTGATCCATCCGCCTCGGCCTCCCAAAGTGCTGGGATGACAGGCGTGAGCCACCGCGCCCGGTCATTTTTTTAAATTTGTTTTTGGAGATGAGGTCATGCTGTATTGCCCAGGCTGGAGCGCAGTGGCTATTCACAGGCATGATCCCTCTACTGATCAGCAGGACACTTTTGACCTGCTCTGTTTCTGACCTGGGCCGGTTCAGCCCTCCTTAGGCAACCTGGGGGTCCCTCACCCCCCGGAGGTCACCACACTGATGCTGAACTTAGTGTAGACATCTCATCAACACAGCACGCTATTGTGCAGAACTCCTGGGCTCAACTCATCTGCCCACCTCAGCCTCCTGAGCAGCTGAGACTACAGGGGGATACCACAATGCCCAGTCCCCAACTAGAGATGGCTTACATTCCTTCTGAAGCTCCTTTTAGACCCATCTGCCCCCTGCCCTCACCTCCTGCTGTTGCCTTCGGCTGACCTCCCCATGGTCCAGCGCCACAGCATCGGATGGGCTTGCATTTGCCTGTGGACTCCCGTAGGTCATCCTGACATCTGGGTCACTCCCCACATTCCCCCTCTCGCTCACTCCGTCCCCAGCTTCCCTGCCTCCACCGGTCTCAGCTGCGCATAATGGCTGTTCGAAGCCGCGGTGCCGGAGTGAGGGCTGAGCGCTGAGCAGAGCGCCCTAGCGCGGGCCTCGAGGGCTGGCGGAGGGGAAGGACCCCAGGAGGGGAAGGACCAGCTTTGCTGCCAAGCAGGAAGCCGGAGCTGTTTCCTGACTCACCACCACACTCACAGGTGGGAGTGCAAGCCCCTCTTCCCGCCCTCAGGTGCTTCCCACAGCCCCCTCGCCGCCTCTGCCTCCGTGCGGGTCAACCTGTCCTGCCAGCCCGGGCTGTTCACTCACTGCCTCCACGCAGCCTCAGTCACACAGGGAAGCCCGTGACTCTCTCTCTTTCAGCCCCCTGGCTGCAGCATAAACAGGCCGGACTGTGTGACCTTCCCAGAGGGGAAAACAGCAGCTGCAGGCGGCCCCTCCCCTGGCATTCTGGCCATAGAGCATGACCACCGGACAGGAGTGCCTGCAGGGCCAAGGCCCTGGGACAGTGCGGGCGCGGGAGCTTCTCTAAGATGCCGGACGTACGTGCCTTTTGGCCCAGGGCAGGCCATGGCATTGCTGGCAGGCAGAAACAAGGGGCAACCGTGGCACCCCCGGCCCTGACTTTCCACATCCACGGACTCCCGAGTCCTCCCTGGCCTGCAGGAGGCTGGGGAGCTGGGTGGTGGGTGGGGGCTGCGGAGCTGGGAGGTGGGTGGGGGCTGGGGAGCTGGGTGGTGGGTGGGGGCTGGCATTCTGGCCCTCGGGTCCCCTCCAGAGGGAGCCTTGTCCCCAAGTGGCTGGAGTACACACCCAGAGTTCTGTACAACCTGCACAGGCCGGGATCCCGGAACCAGACTGCACAGGTAGACTCTGCCAGGCTGGGCTGTTTCCTACCCACAACAACCGGGCACCTCCAAGCACATGCTGCCCGGGACAAGGTCCTTGTGGTCACCTTTCTGCTTCAGTGCTGAAGGGAGGGGAAGGGTGTGCTCCCCTCCCCCGGCCACCTCCTGTGCCTTCCCGGCCGGGTCCAGTCCTGCCAATACCGCTGCCCTTTCCGTCTGAACGTGGTCACATACTGCAGCAAATTCATGAGGCAGAACCCTCAGATGGCAAATTCTCCCCAAACCAATGGCAAGTAGCTGACTGCCTGAGCTTCCCCAAGGTACAGGACAGAAAGAGAGGAAGGTGGGGAGGCACAGCAGGCACTGGGCACTGGCAAGTCCCGCTCACCAGGCACCTAGACCCTCCAGAGCTGGCCGGGGGCCACCGCGGGACCCTCTCCTGGACCCTCCAGAGCTGGCCGGGGGCCACCGTGGGACCCTCTCCTGGCTGCAGACGCGGGGTCTACTGAGCCACGGCACTAAACTCCTGTCCCCTCTCTGGGGGCATCTGCCATCCTGCCCTCCTCTCCAGGATCTGAAGAGGGATGTTTATCCTCTTCACTTCCCTCAGATCCCACCTCCCATGAAATCATGCCTTCCTCAGGTTTAAAGTCAGACTTGAAGGAATCAAAAGGGAAAATCCACAGAGAAATGTCTCATCGGGGAGCCTGGCAACATTTTGAAACCCGCTTTTCTGTGTGGCTTCTGCTGAGAAATCCCCATCCCACCCACGGGGACAGGGGTCAGAGTAATGGAGTGGAAATGGCAGGTTCACAATTTTGGCTACAGCTGCTCCCATCTCTAAGCAACCCAGGCTCCGGGTTGGAGGGTGGCGACCCCAAGATGCGGCCTCAGCCGCCGGCCGTGTTTGTGCTCCAGCCGATGAAGCGAGTGCAAAGGGCTGTACAAACGCGAGGCACTGAACAAACACTGAGCGTGCCGTCCAGATGTCCCGGGGGAGGCTGAGGATCCACACCGTGGGGAGTGCTCTGCCCCCATGGAGTGACCTGGCGTCCGCCCTCCACGGATGGCACGCGATGGCCCAGGCCCTGTGCTGCAGGGCCCTGGGAGAGCCAGCACTGGCTACTGGGCAGCCTACCTGACGCGACAGCCACCCTTGCCCCTCGGAGCCTCCACTTGGGAGGGAAATACCACCATGGGTGCCGACCTCTTGGGCTCTGGAAGGATGGCTCATGGCCATCTCCTTCTGGACTACAAGGAAAAGGCGTGTGCCCGCTTGGAGCCCCCTCTCCTACCAGTGGGGGTAACAGCTCGCAGCCCCTGGTCATCTGTATTTAGACCACAGCCCATGCAGCACAAAGGCCCCGGGACCCAGGAAGTCCCCGAATTAAGGCTTCCACAGCGCCGTCCCCTAGAGTCCTGGGTTATCACAGAGCTATTATCCACAGCCCCAACATGGTTGTTGAAGATTGGAGTTAGAAATTCCTAAAGGCGACCCTGGAGACTCCTTTGTCCCCCAAATTAGAACACGGGTGGGAGACACAAACAGAAAGTGCCATTGTGCCCTGAGCTTGGCGTCTCTGGGAGCTGATCCCGACAGTTCTGCTTTCTGAAGTCCTGGGTTGTATCAGAATGAGATTCGGCTCTGCTCAGCAGAAGCCCCAGTCAGCCCAAGAGTGTTGCTTAACTGCTTCAGCCCTGTCCTCACTGACCTCATTTCCCTTTTGGGGTCTGTTCTCAAGGAGCAGGCACTGGAGCCCTCATCAGAGGCCTCAGGGGGCAGGGGAATGCCCATGGAACTCCCTCCACCCTGGGGGGAGGCAGAAAGAGATGACTTAGAAGGAGAGCTGGCCCATGCAACCAGAGGGTGTGGGTGTGAATGGTGGGTGTCAGCACATGCCCTCAGACGAGGAACAGTGACGTAGCAGCTTCCTGGGGCCTCTGGACCAAGGGTTGGCAAACTTTTTCCATAAAGGGCCAGACAATAGACTTTTTTTTTTTTGAGTCAGAGTCTCGCTCTGTCACCCATGCTGGAGTGCAGTGGCACAATCTCAGCTCACTGCAACCTCTGCCTCCCGGGTTCAAGCAATTCTCCTGCCTCAGCCTCCTGAGTCGTGGGGACTACAGGCGCCCACCACCACATCTGGCTAATTTTTGCATTTTTAGTAGAGACGGGGTTTCACCATGTTGGCCAGCCTGCTCTCAAACTCATGAGCTCAGGTGATCCACCCGCCTCAGCCTCCCAAAGTGCTGGGGTTACAGGCGTGAGCTAGTGTGCCTGGCTAAGACAGTAGACCTTTTGGGCTTTACAAGCCATATGGCCTCTGTCACGACTGCGTTGACTCTGATGAGATACCACAAAAGCAGCCACAGACAGGAGCAAACAGGCACAGCTCTACCCCATGAAGTTTTGTTTACAAAAACAGGCAGTGGTCTGGATTTGGCCTGGCAATGGCGGTTTGCTGACTCCTGCTCTAGATCAAAAAATGAAAACCTTGAAGAACAAACCAACAGCCTCCCTTAGACAGACCTCTGGTAGCCAAACGCTTCAAATGGTGATCAGGTGACTCTCTTGCCTGGTCACTCTCTAGCCTGTGTAGCTTTTTGCCTCCAGTGGGAGAGCAAAGAGTGAATAGAAACGCTCCTGCCACAGTGGTTTGTGTGTTTTGTTTTTTTTTTTAAGACGGAGTCTCACTCTGCCACCCAGGCTGGAGTGCAGTGGTGCGATCTCAGCTCACTGCAACCTCCGCCTCCCGGGTTCAAGCAATTCTCCCACCTCAGCCTCCCGAGTAGCTGGAATTACAGGAACATGCCACCATCCCAGGCTAATTTTTGCATGTTTAGTACAGATTGGGTTTCATCATGTTGGCCAGGCTGGTCTTGAACTCCTGGCCTCAGGTGATCCACCCACCTTGGCCTCCCAAAGTGCTGGGATTACAGGTGTGAGCCACCGCACCCGGCCACCGCAGTGGTTTTTAGCCTTCACACAGACCTGCCAGAGGCCAGTGAAAGTAATGGACCCTCCCCTCCAGAAAGACACAGCTGAGCAGCACCTACACACGCTTTGTTGGCATGGAATTTCAAGGGTGTGCACGGCTCTCCTGAAGCTTACTCATGGACCATGTAGAGACCTGAAAACCCCAGGGTAAGATCTCCTGCTCACTCGGAAAGAACACTAGTGTCTTTGTATTTGAAAGAGCTCTTACGAGTCACTAAATACTAATAATAATAAAATCAAGAGCACTGTAGAAAAATAGACAAATGACACAAAGAAGCAATTCACAGAAGAAATGCAATTTACCAATAAAGAGGAGAAAAAATGCTCTGTCTCACTAATAATGAAATAAATTTTAAAAATGGCATGTCGTTTTTCATAGGATCAGAGTGGCTATGTTTTAAAGAGGAATGACATGGCACTGGAAGGGACATGGAGGAAAAGACACTCGTGTACGTGCTGGTGGGCCTGTGGTGGCAGGCAGGCTTTTTTTTGAGACAGAATTTCACTCGTCGCCCAGGCCGGAGTGCAGTGGCGCAATCTCGACTCGCTGCAACCTCTGCCTCCCGGGTTCAAGCGATTCTCCTGCCTCAGCCTCCCAAGTAGCTGGGATTACAGGCGCCCTCCACCAAGCCCAGCTAATTTTTGTATTTTTAGTAGAGACGGGGTTTCACCATACTGGTCAGGCTGGTCTCGAACTCCTGACCTCAGGTGATCTGCCCGCCTCAGCCTCCCAAAGTGCTGGGATTACAGGCGTGAGCCACTGCGCCCGGCCAGATAACATTTTTAGAAGACTATTTAACAGTACATATTAAATTTTAAAACATGCTAATCCTGTGGCCCAGGGCTGCCAGGAACTTATTTTACAGAAATACATGTACAGGGATGCTCACTTCAGCAGCATTCATAAATTGGAAAAATTGGGAACCAAGCCAAAAGTCCATTAGTTGGAAACAGGTTGAATAAATGATGGTCCATCTATATTAAAGAATAATATACAGAACTGCTTAATAATAAGGCAGATCTCTAAGTACTGACAGGAAAGGATGTAAAAGATACATTAAGGGAAAAGGCAAGTTATCACAGTTCTTTTTTTTTTAAGAAAAAAAAAAAGAATAACACTGGTACATGCAGATCTTTTAAATACTGAAGAAATATATTCCAAACTGATGAAGACAGGCTGATAGAATTTTTTTTTTTTAAACGGAGTTTCGCTCTTGTTGCCCAGGCTGGAATGCAATGCCGCGGTCTCGGCTCACTGCAACCTCCGCCACCCAGGTTCAAGCGATTCTCCTGCCTCAGTCTCCCAAGTAGCTGGGATTACAGGCGTGTGCCACCATGCCCGAGTAATATTTTTGTATTTTTAGTAGAGATGGGGTTTCATTTCACCATGTTGGCCAGGCTGGTCTCGAACTCCTGACCTCAGGTGATGGGAACCTTCTCAGCCTCCCAAAGTGCTGGGATTACAGGTGTGAGCCACTGCGCCTGGCAGGCTCATAGAAGTTTAGTCTACAATTCATATTTCTGAAATGTTAAATTTTTACTTTTATTTTTGGGACAAGGTCTCGCTCTGTCACACAGGCTGGAATATAGTGGTGTCATTGTGGCATACTGTGGCCTGGAACTTCTGGGCTCAAGCCTTCCTCCCACCTCAGCCTCCCGAGGAGCTGGGACTACAAGCAACTGCCACCATGCCCTGGCTAATTAAAAAAAAAAAAAAATTGGAGAGACAAGGTGTCTCGCTATGTTGCCCAGGCTGGTCTCAACCCTGGCCTCAAATGATCCTCCCACCTTAGCCTCCCAAAGTGCTGGGATTACAGGTGTGAGCAACTGCTCCCAACCTGAATTTTTAAAATAAAATCATTTTTGGGCCAGGTATGGTGGCTCACACCTGGAATCCCAGCACTTTGGGAGGTCAAGGTGGGAGGATCTGTTGAGCCCAGGAGTTTGAGACCAGCCTGGTCAACATAGTAAGACCCCATCTGTAAAAAATGAAAATAAAAAATGTAATGAAAAAAATTTTGTTTTATAATTATAAAACATAAAAAAAGACAAAGAATTCTTACTGGCCTATTAGCTCCAACCGCAGGGTCCCTTTTAAAGTCTTTCTTTTTTTCCTTTTTTTTTTTTTGAGGGGGAGTCTTGATCTTGTCACCCAGGCTGGAGTTCAGTGGCGCGATCTCGGCTCACTGCAAACTCCGCCTCCCGGCCTCAAGCGATTCTCCTGCCTCAGCCTCCCAAGTAGCTGGGATTCCAGGGACCCACCACTGTGCCCAGCTAATTTTTGTATATTTTAGTAGAGACGGGGTTTCACTATCTTGGGCCAGGCTGGTCTCGAACTCCTGACCTCATGATCCACCACCCCCATCGGCCTCCCGGAGTGCTGGGATTACAGGTGTGAGCCACCGCACCCGGCCTAAAGTCTTTCTTAACAGGGATTCTTGGTCGTTTTTCAGACAAAACACCTCTCGGCATTTCGGGGTGTGAGGTCCTCAAGCTCAAGGACCATCTCGTTCCTTTATCCCTGAAATTCAGGCCTGCCGTGACAGAGGCGTCGCGTGACTAAAATAATGGAGGTGAGGCCAGGTTTTTAGTTTTCATGCTGATGAAAGAGCTGCTGGTTTTCGGCCGAGCGCCGTGGCTCACGCCTGTCATCCCAGCACTTTGGGAGGCTGAGGCGGGCAGATTGCCTGAGATCAGGGGTATGAGACCAGCCTGGCCAACATGGTGAAACCCCGTCTCTACTAAAAATACAAAAATTAGCGAGGCGTGATGGTGCACGCCTATAGTCCCAACTACTCGGGAGGCTGAGGTAGGAGAATTGCCTGAACCCGGGAGGCGGAGGTTGCAGTGAGCCAAGATTGCGTCACTGCACTCCAGCCTGGGCAACCGAGCAGACTCAAAAAAAAAAAAAAGAAAAAGGAAAAAAGAAGAGGTCCAGAAGCCCCCAGAGCTCCCTCAAAGCTAAACAAGAACCCTTCAATGGCACGACAAGGGAAATCAGAAACCAGAGTGTACCACAAATAGTAATGGTAGGTACTGTGTCTTAGAAACTTTTTCACCGGTAAACTGATGCAGGCGAGGTTTCCTTGATGGACAGAAGCCTCTCTGAAGAAGCTATTATTCTCACTTCTTTCCCAATGGCCAGCTCGGAATGGCACAATTGCCCAACTGGGCGAGCCCACAGAGTTCCCTTCTTCCCTCTGGGAGAGACTTTTTGGTTCCTCTTTTGACTTTCTTTTTTGTTGTTGTTTTTGAGACAGAGTCTGGCTCTGTCGCCCAGGCTGGAGTGCAGTGGCTTGATCTTGGCTCACGGCAACCTCCGCCTCCCAGGTTCCAGCAATTCTCCCGCCTCAGCCTCCGAGTAGCTGGGATTACAGGCATGCACCACCCGCCCGGCTAATTTTTGTATTTTTTAGTAGAGACGGGGTTTCACCATGTTGGCCAGGCTGGTCTCAAACTCCTGACCTCAAGTGATCCGCCTGCCTCAGTCTCCCAAAGTGCTGGGATTTCAGGTGTGAGCCACCATGCCCAGCCCCTTTTTTGACTTTCTTTCTTTCAACCCCACCTTCCTTCTGCCTCCCTGACATCAAGAAGGAGCATATTTTGTGATGTCCTGGGGCTCCCAACAAGGGGGTGCTTAGTACCCCGAGAAAACATCTCCCCCAGGCGACTGTCTGTGCCCGGGCACGGAGGAAACAAGAGGAGCAGAAGACCAGATGTTCCCTGCATTTTCCATCTGGCTCCGGACAAAGGCAAAGGTTGAGGCAGTTCCACGGGAGGCGGGTGGTCAGGCTGCTCCATGAGCCGAAGCTCCCGGAGACCCTGATGACAGCTGCCGAGGAAAACAGGAAAAGAAAGTGGGCGGCAGCGTTTTGTCTTCCTGCCTCTGCCTTCCTTGGGCACAAGGCTAGTGAGCTGCTTCCGCAGCATCAAAGCCCAGATCAGAAGGCAGGGAATGTCGGCCAGGCCAGGTGGCTCACGCCTGTCACCCCAGCGCTTTGGGAGGCCAAGGCGGGTGGATCACCTGAGGTCAGGAGTTTGAGACCAGCCTGACCAACATGGCGAAACCCCATGTGTACTAAAAATACAAAAATTAGCCGGGTGTGGTGGCGCACGCCCATAGTCCCAGCTACTCGGGAGGCTGAGGCAGGAGAATCGCTTGAACCTGGGACGCGGAGGTTGCAGTGAGCCGAGATCCCCCCACTGCACTCCAGCCTGGGCGACAGAGCAAGACTCCGTCTCAAAAAAAAAAAAAAAGGCAAGGGATTGTGAAGCCACGCCCTGCTGCCTGTGGACCTCAGCTGAGGAGGCCCTGCCAGGCCACCTCGCCCATAGCCCCTCTACTGTTTGGGACACCCAGGCACATGCAGGCACATGGAAGGCAAGGAAACAGAAACCAATCAAAGCGGCCTCAAATTTAGAAACAGATTACTGAACTACAGAGCTTTAAAAAATCTGTACTCACTGTTAATGAGGTGAAGGTCATACACATCCCACCAAAGCCATTCAGAGCCAGGGCGATGAAGATGAGCACGGAGAGAGCTGCAGGGACATGGAAAGCTCGTGAGTGGAGACCCCAGCTGAGCTCCAGGGAAGCCGGGACCAGCCCAGAGTCCTGCGCGGTGCAGGCTCCCAGTAAATCCAGTAAACGCAGGCCGGGGTTAGTACCTGACATCTGGGGAGTGGAACTGCCCCTTTCTCACCCCCTCCTCTAGGCCTATTTCTTTTTCTTTTTTAATCGAGACGTAGTTTTGCTCTTGTCACCCAGGCTGGAGTGCAATGGCACGATCCTGGCTCACTGCAACCTCTGACTCCCGGGTTCAAGTGATCCTCCTGCCTCAGCCTCCCAAGTAGCCGGGATTACAGGCATGCGCCACCACACCCGGCTAATTTTTGTATGTCTTGCCATGTTGGCCAGGCTGGTCTCGAACTCCTGGCCTCGGGTGATCTGCCGATCTCAGCCTCCCAAAGCGCTAAGATTACAGGCATAAGCCACCATGCCCAGCCTCCTCTTGCCTATTTCACAAAGCGTGGGCTCTTGAAAAAGCTGCACACCCATCTTCTTTTCTCCAATTAATATTAGCAGTGTCCAGGCGCAGTGACTCACACCTAGAATCCCAACACTTTGGGAGGCTGAAGCAGGAGAATTGCTTGAGCCCAGGGGTTCAAGACCAGCCTGGGCAACAAAGTGAGACCCCATTTCTAAAAAAAAGTTAAAAATTAGCCAGGTGAAGCCAGGCGCGGTGGCTCACGCCTGTAATCCCAGCACTTTGGGAGGCTGAGGCAGGTGGATCACGAGGTCAGGAGATCAAGACCATCCTGGTTAACACAGTGAAACCCCATCTCTAATAAAAATACAAAAAATTAGCCAGGCGTGGTGGCGGGTGCCCGTGGTCCCAACTACACAGGAGGCTGAGGCAGGAGAATGGCGTGAACCCGGGAGGTGGAGGTTGCAGTGAGCTGAGATTGCGCCATTGCACTCCAGCCCGGGCGACAGAGGGAGACTCTGTCTCAACAACAACAACAAAAAAATTAGCTAGCTGTGTGTGTGCGTGCCTGTAGTCCCAGCTACTCTGGAGGCTGAAGTGGGACGATCGCTTGAGCCTGGGAGGTCCAGGGTGCAGTAAGCTGTGACTGCACCACTGCACTCCAGCCAGGGTGACAGAGAGAGACCCTGTCTCTAAAACAAAACAAAACAAAACAACAACAACAAAAAAACAAACAGCAGCGAGCAGGAGGCCTAAGAAACCAAAAATACAGGTTCCTGAAAATCAGTAGATGAGCCTGGCTAAGATTTTGGTGAAACTCGAGTCCTCTTTTGGTGTTTGCTCTACAAATCCTTGAACAGGGTTGGGGACCAGGTGGCTTCTAAGCCATCCTTCATGCTTTGGCCTGTGCTGCCTGGAGGGGACTCAGCTTGTGACTTCTGCACACACCGATGACCATGCCCCTGCAGCCGGCCTGGTTCTTAGAACTTGCCTCTCAGGTTGGCATCAGTGAGGGACTGGCTTGGTTTGGTGATGAGATGGAAGTTGCTCATACCCTGGAAGCTCCTGTCTGGGGTGGCTGCTCTCTGATCTCGCCGTCTATTTGAGATAAGTAACTGAGTAGAGGCGTAACAGGTGTCCCCTCTAACTTGAGCAGGGAGCAGCAGGCCCAGGACAGTGTCCAAGAGCAGGTGGGCCTGGGAGCAGCTCAGGGCACTCTCTCCCCGGTCCCTGACAGAAGATGGAGGGAGAGGACACTCACCGTTTGGTTTACTTGCTCCGTACGCAATCAGCAAGCAGGAAACCGCGAAGCAGGCGCTAAAACCAAGCAGAAACGCAATGTTATTTACCATTATGACTTTATTCAGTGTTATTGTTTTGTTTTTGTTTTTGGTTTTTGGTTTTTCTTGAGACAGAGCCTTGCTCTGTCACCCGGGCTGGAGTGCAGTGGCGCGATCTCGGCTCACTGCAACCTCCGCCTCCCAGGTTCAAGCATTTCTCCTGCCTCAGCCTCCCAAGTAGCTGGGATATTACAGGCGCCCACCACCACGCGTGGCTAATTTTTTTATTTTTAGTGGAGACAGGGTTTCACCATGTTGGCCAGGCTGGTCTCGAACTCCTGGCCTCAGGTGACCCACCCAACTCTGCCTCCCAAAAAGCTGGGATTACCAGTGTAAGCCACCGTGCCCAGCCCATTTTCATTTATATTTTTGTATATGTATTATAAAGCACATTAAGAATGGCATAGGGGGCCGGGAGCCACTGCACTCCAGCTCCAGTTGCTTGGGCAACAACAGCAAAACTCCAACTCAAAAGGAAAAAAAAAAAAAAAAGAATGGCATAGGGGCCAGGCACGATGGCTCACGCCTGTAATCCCAGCACTTTGGGAGGCCGAGGCGGGCAGATCACAAGGTCAGGAGATCGAGACCATCCTGGCTAACACAGTGAAACCCCGTCTCTACTAAAAATACAAAAAATTAGCCGGGCGTGGTGGCAGGCGCCTGTGGTCCCAGCTACTCGGGAGGCTGAGGCAGGAGAATAGCGTGAACCCGGGAGGCGGAGCTCGCAGTGAGCCGAGATCGCGCCGCTGCACTCTAGCCTGGGCGACAGAGGGAGACTCCATCTCAATAAATAAATAAATAAATAAATAAATAAATAAATATGAAAAATATAAAAATTAGCTGGGTGTGGTGGCAGGCGCCTGTAATCCCAGCTACTCGGGAGGGTGAGACAGGAGAATTGCTTGAACTGGGGAGGCAGAGGTTGCCGTGAGCCGAGATCACGCCACTGCACTCCAGCCTGGGCGACACAGCAAGACTCCGTCTTGAAAAAAAAAAAAAAAAAAAGAGCACAGATATACATCATTTATAATTCCATGTGCTTATTATATTGGGGGTACGTGTTGAAAATCTTTTTTCTGGTGGAGCTATAAGGTCAAACGGGCTGTGGAAACCAGTGTTGTTGGTTTTTTTTCTCATCAGATGGATACTGTGCCAGCTTCGTAACAAGGTTTGAGGGAAGCATGTCTCACACATGCGAGGGAAACCCCAATTATCATGCTTATGAACTACAAAGGGATGGGAAACACATGTTCTTAGTGACAAGCAGCTCCGGTCCCTGGGCGGCCTGGAGCCTGGAGCTTTTCTTATTCGGTACTGGAGCACGGCGAGGACCACAGTACCTGCTGATTCGGTGGCGGACGGGGTAGGAACTCCATTCTGGAGGGCCTTCAGGGAGCTCCACAGTACACCTGATATCAGGTACGACCAGGATACCCTTCTGTGGGGAACTCAGCCCAGGGGGTCCACCTGCCCACTCCCTGCCCCCTAAGGGACCCACACTGACCTGCCCAGCAGCCTGAGCTTCCTCGGGCCATACTTGTCCATGACGATACCCAGGGGCAGGGTGATGGCACTGAGCAGAAAGGAGCCCACAGTGAAGGCCAAATTTAGCATCTCGTCCTGGGCCTGGCAGCTGAGCCAGCCGTTCATCCAGCTCACCTCCTCGTGCCCCGGCTCTGCTGTGCCGCCCACTGTGCCATTGGTGACATTCTCTGTGTGAAGAGGGAAGGAAACCCTGACCTCAGGGTCATGACAGGGATTCCCAAAGATCAGAAGGGCAGGTGCCCATTCAGAGTCCCCCCACTGGGAATGCCAGGGCTGGCTGGCGGCCTCTCGAGGGCTCAGGCTACCCCGCAGCAGGCTTGGATGGCCATTTGGCCCAAGTCCCCTGGAGTGAAAATGTAGAGGTTCTTAACTTTTGTGGGGGCCATGGACCCTTTGAAAAATCCAATAAAGACCTCCCCAGAAAATGCACACCAAGGTTTATCCACAGTTTCAGGAGCTTTGTGTGTCCCTTGAAGAGCAACGAAGCCCAGGCTGAGAGTCCCATTCGAGAGCATCCGCCACCCTAGAACGGCAGACCTCAGGGCCCAGCCTTGGCTGTGGGGCCCCAGGCTGGTGAGAACCTTCTCACGGCAGCTATGTCCGTGGGGACAGACTGCAGCCAGTATGGAGGCAGAACCCAGACCACTTGGGAAGCACAAGCACTGGTCTCACCCCAATAGCCTGGTTCTCCTCTGTCCATGTGGGGAGACTGCGGCGCCTCCTTCAATGGGAAGTCCAGCTGCCTTCTCAAACATAGAACAGATGCCACCTTCTCCCCCTGATATTTTCTTTTTCTTTTTTTTTTTGAGGCGGAGTCTCACTCTGTTGCCCAGGCTGGAGTGCAGTAGCACGATCTCGGCTCACTGCAACCTCCGCCTCCCGGGTTCAAGCAATTCTCCTGCCTCAGCCTCCCGAGTAGCTGGGATTACAGGCACCTGCCACCGCGCCCGGCTAGTGTTTGTATTTTTAGTAAAGATGGGGTTTCATCATGTTGCCCAGGCTGGTCTCGAACTCCTGACCTCAGGTGATCCTCTCACCTCTGCCTCCCAAAGTGCTGGGATCACAGGCGTGAGCCGCCACACCCAGCCGATATGCACCTTTCTTATTTTCCTTGCCGGGGTCACAGTGGTGCCATCCCGTGGCCATGCCTAGACCTCGCTGGGTGCTGAGTCTGGTGTGTTTGCCACACCCAGCCCTTAATGGCCCCCTTCAAAGTCCACCCAGCACCAAAACAACACAGAAAGGAAGAGAAAAGTGCTGTGGCAGCTGAAGATGGGAGGGTGGAGGACGGGCTGGGAACGTGGCTGAGGAGCTCTCCTGGCCGGGACTGCTAGTTAAGAGATGCTGACTAATCCTGCAGAAAACAGGAGCCGACTTTGATTAGACATGAGGTCACGCTGGGAGAGTCAAGGAAACGCTCTTCTTCCGGTAACTGCCTGCCTTCCAATTGCAGCCCTCTGGCGCCAGGGCTGTAGCGCCGAGGTTTGCAAAAGCTTGCTCAGGCCTCTCGGGGTTCCTCCAAGGTTACTGGAAAGGATGCGCACAGGTGGACTCGTGCTTCATGCCAACGTGTGGCCAAGGAGCCCCGCCGGGGCCGTGTGGATGAAGAGCGTGGAACTGGAATCTGGTTTCTAGCTTCCAGTGTTTGATTCTCCACTTTCTACCTGCATGACCTTGCTCTAGCTCAGTTTCCTTGTCCATAACATGGACATCATATAATGATAAGATCCACCTCCTAGAGTGTGGGGGAAGATCAATGAGAAAAATTCAGAAAACCTTCTGGAGCTCACCCAGGCATAGAAAGCACTCAATAATGAATAGCTACAAGTTGCTGCTGTTCTCGTGGTTATCATGATCATTGCTGCTATTGGAGGCTCCGGCGGGGAATCACGGCACCATCAGCTGGCACAGAGCCGGATGCAGTGGCTGTGGGGAGCACAGTCCCGTCAGCGTGTGTGGAAGCGCAAAGACATGTCTAATCCCCCACTGGGCTGTGAGCCCCGAAGGGCAGGGCCTGCACTGTGGTCACTTCTGTGTCCCCAGTATCTCACCCAGGTCTTGGCCTACAATAGCTGTTTACTGAATAAATAAAAACAACAGGGCCAGGTGTGGCGGCTCATGCCTGTAATCCCAGCACTTTGGGAGGCAGAGGCGGGTGGATCGCCCGAGGTCAGGAGTTCAAGACCAGCCTGGCCAACATGGTGAAGCCCCGTCTCTACTAAAAATTCAAAAATTAGCCAGGCATGGTGGCGCATGCCTGTAATCCCAGCTACTCAGGAGGCTGAGGCAAGAGAATCATTGAACCCGGTAAACGGAGGCTGCAGTGAGCCAAGATCACACACCACTGCACTCCAGCCTGGGCAAATAGTTAGACTCTGTCTCAAAAAAAACAAAAAACAAACAAACAAACAAACAGAATCAGGCCGGGTACAGTGGCTCAGTCTGTAATCCCAGCCCTTCGGGAGGCCAAGGTGGGTGGATCACCTAAGGCCAGGAGTTCAAGACCAGCCTGGCCAATATGGTGAAACCCCATCTCTACTAAAAATACAAAAATTAGCCGGGCATGGTGGGCGTCTATAATCACAGCTACTCGGGAGGCTGAGACAGGAGAATTGCTTGAAGCCGGGAGGCGGAGGTTGTGGTAAGCTGAGATCACACCACTGCACTCCAGCCTGGGCAACAGAGTGAGACCCCGTCTCGAAAAACAAAACAGAACAAAACAAAACAAAAACAATGGCACCAGATCACAATGGCCAAAAAGATCGAGAGAGGAATCAACAGAACCACGTTGAATCGAGGGGGGATTTAAGGAGATCAGAGCCACGAGGTTAACCATGTGGAGCCACAGAAATACAACGTCACCAACCAGATTCCCACCTCGGCCACTTTCTCTCGGTTTTCCAAAAAGAAGCTCTACCACACGGTCAGCCAAACACATGGCAGACGGGGTCCTCGAGCCCGTCAGGGTGGAGCTCAGAGCGGTCATGTACACCGCCACAGCCGACAGGCCTGGGCCACTCGCCCATCCACAGTGGGGCAGCTTCTGGAAAGGAGGAGCTGCTTTGTGAGTTGGTGTTGGTTTCAAATGTCAGCTCTGCCAGCAGCAAAGGAATTGGCTCTGAAGTCAGGGAAAGAGGGTCTCTACAAAGCAACAGCCATTTCCAGGTTGACATGCAGATAGGAGCAAACCAGCACAGAGGTGACAGAGAGGATGGATGGAGAGAGCACGCCAGGGCCCAGGATGGGTGACTTGTGGGGACAGTGACTGCACAGGGGCCGTGGAATAACTGAGGGCTTGGGGGGCTGCACGTTCTACTGCTGCAAGCAGGAGCCACGGGGACAAGGAATGGAGTGGGTGAGGCAGCACTGCCTGAGTAAAGGCACCAGGGACCTCCAGTTACCCCAGGGAGGAACCACAGCTGGGTCTCTAAACCCATGGGTTTTCTCATCTAGAGCCAGAAGATAAAAATCCCAAGGCTAGGCCAGGCACGGTGGCTCACGCCTGTAATCCCAGCACTTTGGGAGGCCGAGGCAGGCGGACCACTTGAGGTCAGGAGTTTGAGACCAGCCTGGCCAACATGGTGAAACCCCATCTCTACTACAAATACAAAAAAATTTAGCCAGGCTTGGTGGCAGGTACCCGTAACCCCAACTACTTTGGAGGCTGAGGCAGGAGAATCGCTTGAACCCAGGAGGCAGAGGTTGCAGTGAGCCGAGATTGTGCCACTGCACTCCAGCCTGGGCCACAGAGTGAGACTCTGTCTCCAAACACACAAACAAACAAACAAAAGTCTTAAATTGATTAGAGATCTGGTCACCCCTTTAACCACATAGGGAAGAGGCAAGGTCAGGGTAGAGGCAAGGGTATCTGTCCTTCCCATCTTTTACCCTGGAGCGACTACACACAGGGGCAGGGACCTTGCACGTAGGCCAACAGCCTTCTCGTCTTAAACAAATCCCTGCCGATGGGGCCACCAGGCCCTCTGCCCGGCCGCCTGCCTCCAGGCCGTCCCGTCCAGCAACAGAGGCGCCTGGGGCCGGGGAGGTGAGCGGCTTCTCCTTCTGCTTGTGGAGCAATTTGAGAGTCTCCCTCCTGCTGGAGGGAAGGAAGCCCTTGGTGAGCCCAGAAGCTCTGTTGACAGTAAACAGCCCACATGCACCCAGCAGATGCCCAAACAGACACACCCAGGCTGTTCCTCTCCCTCTGGTCCCACCTGGGCCACCGTGGGTCAGGAGAGAGACAAACAGATTAAGCACCCAGGAAGTGCCAAGGCGTGGGGTGGCCCTCTGCTCCCAGCCTGGAGCTTGACCCCGGGCCAGCCTGCTCTGCTCACCCCCGGCCAGGCTGCTCTGCTCCTCACCTGCACCTGTTTATTAAACAGATGCCTCCTCTGGGGTGGCCAGAAGTGGCCCAGCCCAGCCTGGCCAGAGAAGGTGAACTGAGAAGACAGGCAAGAGTTGGTGTGGCCAGTGAGTGCCAAGAACAGGAACAGGGCTGCTTAGGAGGAGACCCAGGGCCAGGGAGGACGTACACCGTTCAGCCCCACTCACAGAAGACGCACAAGATCTTTACAGAGGAATCAGGGAGAAAAGAGGGTGCTGTGGCCCCCCAGGCTCCCCTGAGGCAAAGAGGAGCCTCCCCACACCCCGGGGAGACAAAGGGAGGGGGGCCTCCAAGATGATGCTTGAGGGGGCCAAGAAGTACCTGGCTTGAGGTCCCCTCTAAATTCCTGAGCTGCCCCCTTCCCTGACTAGTCGCTTTCCGAGCCCCCCCTCCAGGGTGCGGGCCCCTGGACAGCCCACCGATGGCCCCTGCCCAGGATCTCCCGTCTCTCAAATCCTTAGTCTATCCGGCAACAGGAAGCAGCATCTCAGTCCTCAGTCCGGCAGGGGAGATGTAGGTGAGAGGTCGGCTCAGACACAGAGCAAACAACAGGCAGGAGGGCACGGACAGGCAGAGGCCGTCCTGGGCTGACCAGGGCCTGGCCCCTGAGCAGTGGTCCCAGCAGCGGCTGCCGTGTGTGCAATGAAAGTGTGTGCCAGCTGCCATGCTCAACGGGTGTGCCCACGCCCACCCCATATTCCCCACGAGGATACTGTCAGAGTGTCCCCGAGGGATGCTCAGAGCAGGTAAGTCACTTGCAGAAGGTCTCATGGGGGTCCCTGGGGAAGCTGGGCTTGACTCCAGGCTGTCAGACCCCAAAGCTCCCGCTCTTACCACTCGGTCTGTGCCGATGCTGGCCTACCTGGGCTAGAGGCTCATATCCCAGAGAGAAAATGCTGAGAGAACAGAGCCGGGAAAAGGCTGCCCATGTGCCGGCAACACCAGGAGGCCCTGAATATCGCTTGGTGGGAATGGGACTAAGACTCTCCCACGAGGTCCCTGAGAGCCAGCCTAAGCTGGACAGGACCTTCATGGACACCAGAAGCCAGGGGTGGCCAGTGGATGTCTGTGAGGGAAATGAGGTCACGAACCAAGAAGGAGGGAGGCTGGGGCGGTGGGAAGAGCCAAGGCCACCAGCTCTTCTCTGAGACGCATCCTGAGGCTGCCGGCCCCAGCCTTTAAACCTTCTTACCCATTGCTATGGAATTTTTAAAATTCCAAATAAACTGGGGGAAAAGTTTAAAAGTCATATTTATAGCAATAAAAGTGAAAGGCTGGATTTAAGAAAGCTATCCGGCTGGGCGCGGTGGCTCACGCCTGTAATCCCAGCATTGTGGGAGGCCGAGGCGGGTGGATCACGAGGTCAGGAGATCAAGACCATCGTGGCTAACACGGTGAAACCCCGTCTCTACTAAAAATACAAAAAAATTTAGCCAGGCGTGGTGGCGGGCGCCTGCAGTCCCAGCTACTGGGGAGGCTGAGGCAGGAGAATGGCGTGAACCCGGGAGGCGGAGGTTGCGGTGAGCCGAGATCGCGCCACTGCACTCCAGCCTGGGCGACAGAGCAAGACTCTGTCTCAAAAAAAAAAAAACTATCCACACTTGCCTGTGGGTGTGAGGAGAGACTCTAAAAAGAGAGGCCCTTGAGCTGGGCGCAGTGGCTCACGCCTGTAATCCCAGCACTTTGGGAGGCCAAGGCTGGTAGATCACCTGAGGTCAGGAGTTTGAGACCAGCCTGGCCAACATGGTGAAACCCTGTCTCTACTAAAAATACAAAAATTAGCCGGGTGTGGTGGTGGGCACCTGTAATCCCAGCTATTTGGGAGGCTGAGGCAGGAGAATCACTTTAACCCGGGAGATGGAGTTTGCGGTGAGCTGAGATCATGCCATTGTACTCCAGCCTGGGCGACAGAGTGAAACTCCATCTCAAAAAAATAAAATAAAATAAAATACAAATACAAATACAAAAAATTAGCCGGGTATGGTGGCAGGCGCCTGTAATCCCAGCTACTTGGGAGGCTGAGGCAGGAAAATCGCTTTAACCCGAGAGGCAGAGGTTACAGTGAGCCGAGACTGCGCCACTGCACTCCAGCCTGGGCGACAAGAGTGAAACTCCGTTCCCTCCTCCCCATCCCCCAAGAAAAGAGGTCCTCGAGGCAGCAGAGAAATCTCCTGTCCACATCTGCAGCTTCACTCAGCCCGTGGGGATCAAGCCTGGGCCTGCTTCCCCAAGGTGGGCGGCAGCCCCTCTGCCCTTGCAGCGATCTCTGTGCCAGGGCGAGCTCGCAGGGACCTCTGTGCCAGGGTGAGAGGCTCTCTCCCACCACCACAGGTGGAGAAACTGCAGAGGTCAAGAGCATACAACTGGGGTCGGCCTTCATGCCCATGGTCAGACTGTGGGTGACTTCCTCAGGCAGAGGCCGTGATGACTTCTGGTTTCTATGCCACCCAAACATACCAGCATGTGGCAAGCCCTCAGCAATTCACACAAGCCTCTAACAGGGGAATTGGATGGTCGCCCTCCTCTATCTCCCTGGCTTCCTCCTGTCTTGGGAATAAAATTCAGTTTCCCCGAATGGCCTCCCAGTCCCTGCAGCCCCCGCCCCTTCCCACTTCTCTCCTCTCCTCCAGGGTGTACCCTCCTCTCCTCCAGGCTGTACCCTCCTCTCCTCCAGGGCGTACCCTCCTCTCCTCCAGGGCGTATCCTCCTCTCCTCCAGGCTGTACCCTCCTCTCCTCCAGGCTGTACCCTCCTCTCCTCCAGGCTGTACCCTCCTCTCCTCCAGGCTGTACCCTCCTCTCCTCCAGGCTGTACCCTCCTCTCCTCCAGGGTGTACCCTCCTCTCCTCCAGGCTGTACCCTCCTCTCCTCCAGGGTGTACCCTCCTCTCCTCCAGGGTGTACCCTCCTCTCCTGAATCACCCCTCCTCAACCTCCAGGCTTCCACCTGAACCGCAGAGAGGCCCTCCCACCCAGCAGGAGCCACATCTCCGCTGCTGTTCTAGCTCCTGGCGCCCTGCTTTCTTGGGGGCCCGACCACCCCCTGGAATTATACGGGTTACACAGGTATGCGTGTGATGACTTGTTTCCTCTGCACCCAGCACGGCACCTTCGTCAATGTTTACTGAATGTTTAGGTTACAAGAAAGAGGGGATTAACGATCCACATGTAGGCCTGGAGCGGTGGCTCACGCCTATAATCCCAGCAATGTGGGAGCCCGAGGTGGGTGGATCGACTGAGCCCAGGAGTTCAAGACCAGCCTGGGCAACATGGTGAAACCCCTATCTCTACAAAACATTTAAAAATTAACTGGGTATGGTGGCTTACACCTGTAGTCCCAGCACTTTGGGAGGCTGAGGCTGGTGGATCACTTGAGCCCAGGAGTTTTGAGACCAGCCTGAGCAACGTGATGAAACCCTCATCTCTACAAAAAATTTGACCGGGCGTGGTGGCTCACACCTGTAATCCCAGTGCTTTGGGAGGCCAAGGCGGGTGGATCACCTGAGGTCAGGAGTTCGAGACCAGCCAGGCCAACATGGTAAAACCACATCTCTACTAAAAAATACAAAAATTAGCCGGGCGTGGTGGTGGGCACCTGTAATCCCAAAAACAAAAACAAAAAACTAACTGGGTTTGATGGCTCATGCTTGCAGGCCCAGCACTTTGGAAGGCTGAGGCAGGAGGATCGCTTGAGCCCAGGAGTTTGAGACCAGCCTAGGCAACATGGCGAGACCCTGTCTCTACAAAAAATACAAAAATTAGCTGAGTATGGTGGCGCACACTTGTAGTCCCAGCTACTGCTACTCGGGAGGCTGAGGCGGGAGGATTGCTTGAGCCCAGGAGTCAAGGCCGCAGTGAGCTGTGATTGCAACACTACATTCCAGACTGGGCAACAGAGCGAGACCCTGTCTCAAATAAAAAAAAACCATCCACAGGTAGCCGCAGCCCCCCAGGCTGACCCTGACCCTGTTGAAGCGGGGGCCACTGGACAACAGAGAAAACGAAGAAAGAGCTCAGGAGTGGGCCGTCACGTTGCCATCCCAGAGGCCAAGAGGACACAGCTCCAGGAAGCCCCGTGCTTCTCGGGCTGAGAACCCAACTGGTCTCCTGCCCTCACCAGGGGGACGAGGGAGGCATCCAGCAGCCAACACCTGGAGGACGTTGTGCAAAACCCATTGCCAACTTCCCGCACCCAGGTCCCCAAACCCAGCCTGCCACGTCTCCCAGCAGGCAAGGAAGAACAAACTGCGGGGCAGCCGAGAAATGAGCTGTTTCCTTCCTTCTGCCACCTCACCAGGCTGGAACCCAACACGGTGTCTGTGGCGAGATTCTGGCTGGAGTCGTAAGAAAGAGTTCTAAGAACCTTTCAACAGGTTCAGGCAAATTTTCTTTAGAGAACAAACTAAAGCATCGTCCTAGAGTGACACGAAGCTGACAAATTTGCATCTCAATCAGCCGGACACTGCTCAGGCTTTCACAAGTCTAATTCAATAAATTCAAAAATGGCCTATCTGCTTCTCTGCAATTCAGCCATGCACCAAGTTTGAAAATGTTAGACTGAAGCAGAAACCTTCACCCTAACTTCGCCAGGCACTCCCAGACGAGCCAAATGCGGGGATTTCTGGCCTGAAAGAAAACTGGTGATGCAGACTCCAAGAATCAAGGAGCAGTGTGACCAGAGAGATAAGCTGTGTGGAATCAGCAGCCTTCCCGCCCAGAACGTGGGCTCAGCATGTTTGCCAGATAATAAGAAAAACCAAAATTGGAGGCAGGAGCAAAAGTTCGGGATAAGAAGTTGATGTTCAACCCACAATCCTGACCCTTCACCTTCACTTTGGTTTAGTGGAGTTACCTGTCAAGTCTGCCCAGGGCTTAAAACACCAACTCAGCACTGCGCTGGCACAATCTCTGGGACTCCTCCCACTTAGACAGAGGAGGAAGCTGAGGTTGAGGCAGGAATGAAAGGACCAGACCCAATTCTGCCAAAACCATACAATCAATTAAATCCGTGGACATTCTATTAAAAAAAAACAAAAAACAAAAAACAAACAAAAAACACCTAGAATCTGACCTTCCGACATCATGGTGGGTTAAAAAAAAAACACACAAAAAAACACCTGCCCACAACAGTTCTCTGGTCTGGGTGAGACACTAAAAGCTTTCTCTGGGGACGATGACTTTTTTTCTGCTTTTTTTTTTTTTTTTTAAACCCTGTGTCCAGCCTGAAAGAGCCCACCAGGGAGGCAAGCAGGAAGGGTCACGATCTCTAAGGGGGGAGAGAGGAAAGGAGAGGAAGAAGTAAACACTCCAACCTGTGCCTTTCGGGGACAGGCATTAATCTCCTAACAACTCTTGGCCAAAGCAGAAAGCTTGTTCAGGGAACAAGGTCTGACTCTTCCCAACTCCCAAGATTTCTTGCTGATGTGGGGAAAGACCTGCCAAGAACCCTTAGGCTATTAGGAAATATTTTTGAGTGGCTAAAGGCTAAAGGTTAGTTATAAATGATATACTTTCTGTCCTCTCCCCGCGGCCTCTGCATTCTCCTGCTTTCTCCTGCCCTGAACCTCTCCAGCTAAGCCTCCCTCCCTAGAGACTGGGACACACAGGAATCTCCGGGGCAGATCAGAGAAGGGAAACAGGGAGGCTTCCACAAAGGATTACACCCAGCATGAGCTGGTCCAAAGCTTTCTCTTCCTGCAAAGAGCTCTAGAAAGAAAAGGCCTGCTGCTGGGGATTCAGGAAGTCAAACCTGGGCTACCTCCATCTAAGGGCACTCTAGCACTGGCGACAGGGATTATGTGAGCTCAGCTATTATGCAGCTACCGTTGGGATCAAGGAGAAGGCAGAGGGAAAATTTCCTGTCAAGGTTGCCTAAGAAGGAGGGTAGGAGGCTAGAGGCTGGGGGCTGCTGTGGCCCTCCTGTGGGGCTGAATTTACTGCCCTGTAGTCATCAGGACCCTCCAACAGGGTATGAAGGTGTGAAGGTAAGTGTGTGTTGGGTGGTGCAGATGTCATGTAGAGAAGCATCCTCAGCCTGCCTTCAGCAATTCCAGTGACAAGGCAAAGAGGAGAGAACAACCCTAGCATCATTTCCATAAACGTTCCTTTCTTCTCTTCCCCTTCATCCCCATGGGGTTGGAAAGCCACGGAGATGTCCTCAGAGCCCGTGGGGGAAATGTCCTTTGGAGAATCATAAGGCAGCAAAAATAGACAAGAAATTGTGTCCAGCAAGCACTTAGGAGACTCCACAATGGCCTGAGGAACGTCTAGATTCTAGATGAGCCCTCCCTGGGGTGGAGGCAAGGCCACTTCCTCTCCTGCTGCACCCCAGCCCCTTAATCTGGAGTTCCTCTTTCTCACAAGCAGACAGCAACATGTTTACTACCAGCCAAGCTATGTTCCAGGGCTGGGAGGAGAGGAGAGCAGTCCAGCACTGTTCGTAGCGGGTGGAAGGAACACCCTGGACAGCAGGTGGGGTTCTGGGTGGATGGCAGGCCCAGGCTCTGCGGCCTTGCGCAAGACAGATCGCTCTGAGCCTCGATGTCTTCGTCCACAAAACAGGGGCAATGACAAGTACCCGGCAGGGCTGGGTGAGGATCAGATGGGCCTTCTGATACCCTAGAGGCACTGGGCAATGCGGTGCTGTGGCTCGCTAGGTCTTCGCCCCCATCCCGCCCCCTCCCAAAGCCCCAGCTCCAGGAGCCCCCCGCAACCCCAGGCGCTTGTCTCACCTGGCTCGGTACACAGGTAGGAGTAAAAGCCCTCTGACTTGAGCATGATGAGCAGCGAGCCCCAGCCCAGGAGGACTGCCGAGAAGAGGAGGTTCTCCAGCACGGCCGTGCAGGCCATCCACCAGCGGCGCCGATGGGCAGTGGCCAGGGTGGGCGCCATGGTGCGGCGCGGCGCGGCTCCGGCTCCGGCTCCGGCTCTGCACCACCTGCGCACAGAACTCGGCGTCAGCGGCCGGCCCTTGCCCAGCCCCTGCGGCCGCCCCCAGCAGCCCCGACCGCTGCCGCAGGGCTCGGGATTGCCACCCCTCCCCGGCCGCGGCGGCCGGTGCGCGCAGCAGAGGAAGCGAACCCCAGCCCTGCCCGGACCTGGGACACCCCGAGCCCGCGGCCGGCTCGTACCGCTGCCCTCCGCTACGACAGAGCCGCCCCGGCCAGGCAGGGAGACGTCTCCCGCAGCTCACTCCGAGGTAAACTGAGGCATGGAGGCAAGAAGGGGCTAACGCATGCTCAGGGCCGTGGAACTAGTCCTGGCCTGCAGCAGGACTGACATCGCCTGGGGCCAGCATGGAACGCAGCGTGAGGTGGGCAGGGGCAGATCCGAGGGCTGCCTCTCCCAGGGACCCTGACAGGTGCCCTCCCGCCCGCGCCCGAGACCCTTCCCCAGAGCTGGTTTCTTCAACCACAAGATCAGCGCCCAGACCTACGGAACGGCCCGCCCCGGCGCGCTCATTGGCCGGACGGCGCAGGAACTGCCGCGCCATTGGCCGCCGTCTAGGTCGCTAGGCGCTGCGGCCACGCGAACCCAGCGTGGGAGACGAGGAGCCGGTTCAAACCGGTGGCGCGAGCCAGCCGCGCGACCCCCATCTCGGGCGTTCCCCCGGCAACTCGCCCGTTTCCATGGCCTCGGACCCCCGCGCCTCCATTCCCCAGCCCGCATCTGTTCGTCATCTCTTCCCTGGCGGCCCCTCATCGCTCCATCTCTCTCCTCGTTCCCACGTTTTCTCCCTACGCCCCTTCGGCGGCCGCTTCTGCCCCCGCGCCCTCGCCCCGGCCGCGATCCCCTCCCTGCTGCAGCTCACCCGGCTCCTCCGGCGTGTGTCGGGCCCGCCCGGCGCCTTTTCTGCCCTCTTTTATTCCAGCCCTTTTATTCCGACCCCAAGAAGAAAACACTGCCGCCCGCTGATTGGCTGAGCGGGGCTGGAAACAGGCGTCGACCAATCAGCAGCCAGCCCCCCGCCCGCCCCGCCGCGAGCAGAAGCCGGTTCCGGCCGGACTCGGAGACAAACAAGAGAGATGGGGGACGGGAGGGGCCTGGGCGCTGCGGGCCGGGCCTCGGCTTTGCAGCCTTCAACCCGAGTCACAGCGCGGCCGGGAATCCCCGGCGACATCGCCCCGCGGCCTCTCCAGCGGCCTGACCCTGCGAGGCTGGGGCTCCGGCTCCGCGTCCCGGCCCCCAGCGGACTCCCCCCAGAAGCCGCCGGGCCACCAGCGCCCCCAGCCGGGCTCTCCCGCGGCCGCCCCGCCGTCCCCAGCTGCCCCCTGCGCGCGGGTCACCACGCCCAGATGCGCCGGCTCCGCACGGTGGTTCCACTCTCGAATCCCCACCCCGCCTCCTCCCCACGCAGCGCCGCCGTCCCCGCCGCCTCGGGCTTTGGGTCCTGGTTCCTCGCTCCCCCGCCCCGGTGGTTCCCGTCCCGGCGTATTCGGGGCCTGGGATCCCGGACCCGGTCCAGCCGTGGCGCCCCCCGCTGATGCACCGACCCCTTCCCCTCTCCCCGGTGGCGTCTGCCCGGTCCCTGGAAGTTGGCCCTTGGAAATCTGCAAGGGGATTTGGGGCTGGTCTGTCCCGTCCTAGGATGGGGTCTCCTGAGCTCCCCCCATCAGACTGACCTTTCTCCGCCCGTGTTCACGCACTGCTCGGTCCTCCGGGGACCCTCCACCCTTGATCGTCATCTGGGTGCTCCCTGCCCGCGCTGGCCACCTTCACCCCGTTCCCCGTCCCTTTCAGGGAAGGTCCCCTCTGCAGGGCGATGCTACGGGCCACGTCCGCCAGCTGGTACAAGCTAGGGAGGGTTCGAGGGGGCTCCGGGTCCCCGTCTGATAAGCCCGGGCTCCGAAAGCTCAGCTCCCCGTCTTCGTCCCCCGGATTCGAGGCACTAACCCGACCCGGGAAGACCCTCTGACTGCCCCAGAATCGCCTTGGTCACCCTGGCTCGCTCCGGGGGGCTGGCTTAGCACCCCAGGGCTGCCGCGCGGTGTCCACGTCTGGAATCCCAGCGGTTTGGGAGGCTAAGGTCGGAGGGCCACTTGGGGACAGGAGTTTGAGACCAGCCTGGGCAGCATGGCGAGAACCATCTCTACCAAAATAAAAACCAAAAATAAAACCCCACCACCACCCCAGGGCTGTGGGAGCCCCAAACGCCTCTTGCTCCACCTGCCCCAGTCCGAGTGTGCCCCCTACTGTCTAGAATCCGCCCGGGCCACCTGGCGAGGGCAACCTCCCCCAGACAACGCTTGGAGCTGTCAGCCTGCTGGGGGGCGGCTCCAGCTGGTAGCCTACCCGGTTCCTCACCCTGTGGAACCCTTCCCACTCCCAAGGTTTCAACTGCCATCTGAAAAATCTCTTTCTTCACCCTTCCCTCCTCTTTGAGCAGCCTGACGGCGCTGCAGGGCTCAAACATGCCTCAAATATCCCCCAGAACTGTCCTCCACATTTTCTCTCAGATAACCATACTACTACTGTCTACTGAAGTTAGATACCAAGAACCCTGTCTTTTTTCTTTTTCTTTTTTTTTTTTTTTTTTTGAGACAGGATCTCAGGCACCCAGACTGCTGGAGTGTGGTGGCATGATCATAGCTCACTGCAGCCTCGACCTCCTGGGCTTAGGTGATCCTCCTGCCTCAGCCTCCCAAGTAGCTGGGACCACAGGTGCATGCTACCACACTTGGCTAATTTTTGTATTTTTTGTACAGATAGGGTCTTGCCCTGTTGCCCAGGCTGGTCTTGAAGTCTTGGGCTCAAGTGATCCTCCCACCTCAGCCTCCCAAAGTGCAGGGATTACAGGCATGACTCACAGTGCCCTGCTGAGAACCATCCTTTCATCAGACATTTGTTAGGCAGTCGCTGTGATTCTGCCTCTCCCTCACCGCATCCCCATCAAACTGATACAGCTGTATCTCCTACATATTTACCTAATCGGTCCATCTGTGCCCTTAGGCCCGCAACTACTGTTGTTGAGCCACCTTCAGATTTCAGTTCCTCAAATCCAGCCCCCATCTCATCCCAGGGCACTAAGGGAAATGTAAATGTGACTTCTGCCAAAATCCTTCAGAAACTATTATTTGTAAAACAGGATAAAGTTCCAGTTCCTGGCTGGGCACGGTGGCTCACACCTGTAATACCAGCACTTCGGGAGGCTGAGGCGGGCAGATCACTTGAGGTCAGGAGTTAAAGACCAGCCTGGCCAACATGGTGAAACCCTGTCTCTACTAAAAATACAAAAATGGCTGGGCGCGGTGGCTCACGCCTGTAATCCCAGCACTTTGGGAGGCCGAGGTGGGCAGATCACAAGATCAGGAGTACGATACCAGTCTGGCCAAGATGGTGAAACCCTGTCTCTACTAAAGAAACAAAAAATTAGCTGGGTGTGGTGGCGCACACCTGTAATCCCGGCTACTCTGGAGGCTGAGGCAGGAGAATCACTTGAACCTGGGAGGCGGAAGTTGAAGTGAGCCGAGATCGTGCCACTGCACTCCAGCCTGGGCAACAAGAGCGAAACTTTGTCTGAAAAGAAAAAAAAAAAAAAAGATCTGGGTGATGTGGCACACGCCTGTAATCCCAGCTACCTGGGAGGCTGAGGCAGGAGAATTGCTTGAGCTGGGGAGGCAGAGGTTGCGGTGAGCAGAGATTGTGCCACTGTACTCCAGCCTGGGCAACAAAGCGAGACTCCGTCTCAAAAAAATAAACAAAATTTAAAAGTTCCAGTTCCCCAATTTGACCCACACAGGCTCCTCCCTCTCCCTCCCTCTGAAGGACATCTGACCTGCCTGGTCCCCGATGCTCCAGTCACATGGAATTGCCTGTGGTTTCTGCACCTGCTGTTCTCTCTCCTCTAGCTCGCGACATAGCCTCATTTTGGACGGCACCTCCGCTGGGAAGCCTTCCCTAACCACTCCCCATTAATACTGTTCACTTTATTTGTCCACTGCTGGCATTGTTTTATAATTAGCTATTCGTCTGTTTGCCTTCCTCTCTAATTGACTATGAACTCTTTGGGGGCAGGACGGTGTCTTATTCAACTTTGTATGACCAGCCCTTGATAGAGAAGCAAGCACAAAGCAGTTGCACAATATGAGTTTGTGGAATGAAAACATGAACTCCTGAAAAGGGGCAAATGGCCAGGTGCGGTGGCTCACACCTGGAATCCCAGCACTTTGGGAGGCTGAGGTGGGTGGATCACCTGAGGTCAGGAGTTCGAGACCAGCCTGGCCAACATGGCAAAACCCCATCTCTACAAAAAGTACAAAAATTAGCTGGGCATGGTGGTGGGCGCCTGTAATTCCAGCTACTCAGGAGGCTGAGGCACAAGAATGGCTTGAACCTGGGAGGCGGAGGTTGCAGTGAGCCAAGACGGAAAAGAAACAACCTTAGAATACTCATAGAACTTTAAATTGTAATGAGATATAATTGTTGATGGCTAAACACACACACAAAAATTATATATACTTTTTAGAAGCTTTAGTGGCTGGGCACAGTGGCTCACACCTGTAATCTCGGCACTTTAGGAGGCCAAGGTGGGAAGATCTTCTGAGGTCAGGAGTTCGAGAGCAACCTGGCCAACATGGCAAAACTCCATCTCTACTAAAAATGCAAAAAAATTAGCTGCACGTGGTGGCATGCGCCTGTAGTCCCGGCTACTCGAGAGGCTGAGGCAGGAGAATCGCTTGAACCTAGGAGGCCGAGGTTGCAGTGAGCTGAGATCGTGCCATTGCACTCCAGCCTGGGCAACAAGAGTGAAACTCCATCTCAAAAAATAAATAAATAAATAAATATGGACAAAGTTGTATACTATGTCATTGCTTATTGTATCAAAACAGATCAGAACAACCCAACCTTCCATTGGCGGGGGAATGATTTAAATAATTGTGCTAGATGGAATCTCATGTAGTCATTTTTTAAATAAAGAGAGTTAGCTTTACATTTATGGACATTGAACTATATCCAGGATATGTCGTTAAGTAAAAAAGCAAGTTGAGGCTGGCCGCGGTGGCTCACGCTTGTAATCCCAGCACTTCGGGAGACCAAGGCGGGTCAGGAGTTCGAGAACAGCCTGGCCAACATGGTGAAACCCCATCTCTACTAATACAAAAATTAGCTGGGTGTGGTGGCACACACCTGTAATTGCAGCTACTCAGCAGGCTGAGGCAGGAGAATCGCTTGAACCCGGGAGGCAGAGGTTGCAGTGAGCTGAGATTGCACCACTGCACTCCAGCCTGGGCAACAGAGCAAAACTTCGTCTCAAAAAGAAAAAAAAAAAAAAAAAAAGAAGCTGAGGAACAGTATGCTTAGTATGCTAAAATTTTTTGTTTAAAATATTTGTTGACATGTACACAGAAAAACATCTGAAAGAAAGCACCTCAACTGTTGATGAGACTCTCTGAGCACTGAGATAGAAGGGGCTGCCCCTGGCCGGGCGCGGTGGCTCATGCCTATAATCCCAACACTCTGGGAGGCCGAAGCTGTGGAGCCCTTGAGTTTGGGAGTTCAAGACCAGCCTGGCCAACATGGTGAAACCCTGTCTCCACCAAAAAATACAAAAATTAGCCGGGCATGGTGGCGGGCGCTTGTAATCCCAGCCACTCAGGAGGCTGAGGCAGGAGAATCGCTTGAACCGGGGAGACAGAGGTGGCAGTGAGCCGAGATCATACCACTGCACTCCGGCCTGGGTGACAGACTGAGACTCCATCTTAAAAAAAAAAAAAATAAAGCTCGGGGGGAGGGTTGCCCCTTTTCTTTTCTGACTAGGTAATATGTGAGCAAAGAATTCAAACAAGACCAAAAAGCTGCCAGGGAAAAGTAGATTCTACCTCTCTCTTGACCCACAGACGCCTCTGGGGAGAAAGGAAATCTCCGTTTTACTTTATACATGTCTGTAATGTTAGTACTTTTTATTTTTTTAACAAAGATCATTGCTTTTTATTATACTTTATCAAATTCAATCTAGTAACAAAAGTAAAAAAGAATGTTCACTGTAGAAAATTTGCAAACTATACAAAAGTTTCAGAAGAAAATAAATATCACCTACAATCTCATCTTCCAGAGGAAAAAACCATTTAGTGCCTTTCCCTTGAATCTGTTTTTATACACATACATCCTTTTTAAAAAGTTCATAGACCAGGCGTGGTGGCTCATGCCTGTCATCCCAGCACTTTGGGAGGCCGAGGCAGGTGGATCACGAGGTCAGGAGATCGAGACCATCCTGGCTAACATGGTGAAACCCTGTCTCTATTAAATATACAAAAAAATTAGCCAAGCGTGGTGGAGGGCACCTGTAGTCCCAGCTACTCGGGAGGCTGAGGCAGGAGAAGGGCGTGAACCCGGGAGGCAGAGCTTGCAGTGAGCCGAGATCGCACCACTGCACTCCAGCCTGGGGGACAGAGGGAGATTCTGTCTCAAAAAAAAAAAAAAAAATTTGTTTAGCCAATCTTTTATCAGCAAACATGTAGGTTGTTTGCTATTTCAGAAAAATGTTTTGCACGTGAAAGAAAGAATAGCCCTTATGAGGCACACAGGGTCCAGGACAGCAGAGCAAAAGTCCCTGCAGGCAACCCTTCCTGACCCCATCCTACAGGGTCTCTGCCCAGGCCTTCCTGGGCCCCTCCGGGAGCACTGCCAGGGGCCTGGGCCAACTGGCCTGGAAGCCTTGCCTTTTCCCTGTGGAGGCGCAGAGGCTCTGGTTTGTCTGTCCTGGCCCCGGGATCATTTTCCAGCACACAGCACAGTCTAGTCCATCCACTCTCCCCACTCCCCAAATTCAAGGTCATCAGGGTTCTGGTGGCCTGGAGATGGGTACAACATTCTCATACTCAGGTTCCTCCTGCCTTTCCTCTTCAGCCTGCTTCTGGGGATCCTGTTCTGGGGAGCCACAGCCAGAGACTGGCTCCTGGGCTCTCCTTGAACTCTCGGTGCCAGCCCCCAGCCCCCGGACCGCTTCCTCTGGTCTGACTGCCATAGGCCCTGTGGCCCCAGGAAGCCCAGCTTTTGGGGCTGAGTTGGGGCTCTGGCCGACAGAGCCAGAGGCAAGGCCAGGGCTGCCCTTTTTCCGATTCAGGGCCTGGCGCGGAGGCTTAGGGATGGCCCTCTTGACCTTGGCTTCCGCCTGGCCTTTCTGGAAGCTACCAAAATGGCGGAAGACAGAGCGGACAGGGCCTTCGGATCCGCGGGGCTTCCCTGCCAGCATGTAGATCGTGGTCACAGGGCCCGAGCTCTCCTGGACGCTGCCCTCAATGGCTTCCACGTGCTCAGCCACTGTCCGGCCACCAAGTGGGGGCCGCCGGTGGCCAGTGGCTGAATCCCCGGGACTGGCAGCCGCCGGAAAGGACTCGGGGGCTTCTGCTTCCTCTGGGCCTGTGGACTCTTCGGCTTCCCGGCCCTCAGGACCCGACTGCGCCCCCCGGGAGAGCCTCTTGGGCTTTCGGAGCGGGCTGGAGAGCTCCCCTGAGCTTCGGCGACTCTGTGGTGCAAACTTGGTACCTTCCGCGAAGGAGACCGATGGCCGCTTGGCCCGAGCTAGGCTGGAGGTGCGCGGGATGGCGAATGGCGTGGAGGCGTCCTCAGGGGGCGGGAAAGCACCTGCAGCCAGGCTGGCCTCTGACGACCCTGCCTGGGCCACAGGGACCATCCCTGGCAGAGGAGACAGAAGAGCTTGGCTGGAGCTGAACTGGCCACCCCAATGCATCCTACCCACAGCTCAGCATCTTCCAGGAGGCCTCAAAAATAGGGCAAGGAAGAGGGCAAGGATGAGGAGAGTGGCAGAAGGACCAATTCAGGTAGACACTGTTACTTCTACACTTTTTTTTTTTTTAATTGTAGAGATGGGGTCTCACTATGTTGGCCAGGCTGGTATCAAACCCCTGGCCTCAAGCAGTCCTCCCGCCTCAGCCTCCCAAAGTGCTGGGATCACAGGTGTGAGTCACCACACCTGGTCTCTATACTCTTTTCTCACCACCTCTCCCTACTTTGAAATACTGTCACACTCTTACCAAGCTAAAACTCTTTCGATGGCACACAGCCACATCCCTCTCACCTCTGGGCCTTTGTGTATGCTGTTCCATCTTCCTGAAACACCATTCCCTCCTCTCCCTGACTTTCACTTGGCCAACTCCTACTGATTCTGCTAGACTCGACTGGGATGCCACACACATCGTCCCTGACCCCAGTCACCCCAACATGGCTAGCAAATGAGTCCCTACTTGTATGTCCCCCATGGAAACACATATCACTGTGTCCTGTCATTGTCTGATGACTGCCCATCTGACTCTAAGCCTGGTGAGGATAGGAATCTGTCTTGTTATCTCTTGCATGCCCGGAGCCAAGAACAGTGACTAACACAAAATGGGCCCTTAATAACTGTTTGCTGGCCAGGCGCAGTGGCTCATGCCTGTAATCCCAGCACTCTGGGAGGCTGAGGCGGGTGGATCACGATCCTGGCTAACACGGTGAAACCCGGTCTCTACTAAAATATAAAAATTAGCCGTGTGTGGTGGTGCACGCCTGTAATCCCAGCTATTTGGGAGGCTGAGGCAGGGGAATCACTTGAACCCGGGAGGCAGAGGTTGCAGTGAGCTGAGATCGCACCACTGCACTCCAGCCTGGCGACAGAGCAAGACCCAGTCTCAAAAAAAAATAAAAATAAATAACTTTGCTGGAGGACTAAAGAGGGGGTCGTGGTGGGCAGGGCTGCTCAGGGGCTATGTGGGCTGTTGGGGGGCTACCTTCTTGGGGTGGCACACAGTAGGCAGGAACCTCATCTGCCTCTCCAGACTCAGGATCGGATGAGAAGGAGTCATCAGTGGCCCAGCCGGCAGAGGGCGGCTCGATGAAGCTGTGGTTGAAGGGGACCTCCGGGTCGTGATGTGAGACTGTAGAGACTCCAGATCAGGCGCCTGCAGGACCTGATGCAAAGCCCTGTCCAATCCCAGACCCCGGCCCCCAGCGCCCACTGACCTGTCACCCAGGGTAGCTTGTGGGAGCTGAGGGAACGGCAGGGCAGCGTGGAGCCCAAGCTGGTCAGTGTCCCCCAGACCTGCAGCTTCATCCTGGACACGGTAGCTCCATCTCTCGCTGGCCTGAGGGAGGAGGGTAGGGACACTGGTCAGTACATGAGACCCACGGTGACCTGGGTCACCTTGGCAGGGTGTGACAGGGTGACTGCCTCTACTTCAGTGGCTTCAGTGGCTCTCTATTGACTACAGAATAAAATCCAAATGATTGAGCCCACAATTCAGGCCTGCCACAGAACAAAGAGTGGCTCTAGAGTCAGACAGCCGAGTAACAACTCTGGTTCACACTTCACCTCCCTAGGCCTCAGTTTCCGCATCTGTAAAACAGATCCTATCTATCTATCTATCTATCTATCTATCTATCTATCTATCTATATCTATCCATCTATCTATCATCTATCTGAGCTTTTTGCAGGACCTGGCAGGTCTTTGTTATTATCATCCTAGCTGAGCCTCAGCTCACGTTTCTCTCTCTCTCTCTCTCTCTATTTTTGGGACAGAGTCTCGCTTTTGTTGCCCAGGCTGGAGTGCAGTGGTACGATCTTGGCTCACCGCAACCTTCGCCTCCTGGATTCAAGTGATTCTCCTGCCTCAGCCTCCTGAGTAGCTGGGATTACAGGCGTGCACCACCACACCCGGCTAATTTTGTATTTTTAGTAGAGACGGGGTTTCACCATGTTGGCCAGGCTGGTCTTGAACTCCTGACCTCAGGTGATCCACTCACCTTGGCCTCCCAAAGTGCTGGGATTACAGGCGTGAGTCACTGCGCCCGGCGCACCTGTCTCAAATGACACCCCCTCCAGGAAGCCTTCCCTTGTTCCCACTCTGCTCTACCCCCACATGTGGAGGAGACTGCTCTGCTCTTCACTGTTCCTCCAACAGCCTTTGCACCTGTCCTCGTGTCCCTGCGAGGGGCTTCTTCCCACCCTGGGCTCTATGCCCTGGGCCAGGGGCAACTGTATCTGCTCCTCTGTGAATGCCGCACAAGCACAGAGGAGGATGTGCTATTGGACTAGGGCAGGAACTAGTAAGAGAGCACCAGACAAAGAGTCCAAAAAGGTGGAGAGGGGCTTCCTGTGTGCCAGTACCAACTAGATCACCTTGGGCCTCAATGTCCTCTGGGAATTGAGGACATTTATCCTCCCGGCCCCACACTCCCTGTTCCAAACCTCCACGCTGCTGTGAGTCTCAAAGGAGCCTGGAATGTGACGAGGTTTCATAAAGGAACAAAGCTCTGCGTAAGCCCCCTGCGCGGGCCCCACCAGCCCAACCCTTCCTCCCCTCTCCGTCTCTCAGGCAGCTACACTCTCTGCTAAACCACTGCACAGACATTGATGTCTCTTTCCTTCGTGGGCCATCTGAGGCCTGGTCTCTTTCCCTCCTGGCCCAGAGCCGGGCTGCTCCTTCCGTGGTCCCAGCCCTCCTCCTCTGGTCCCCGCCGGTGTCAGCTTTCTGCCTCCCGCTGCAGGCTCCGGTTCGCCAGCCTGGTGCCCATGCAACTCAGAAACTTCCTCATTGAAGGCTTCCGAGGAGGGCAGGCAGCTGACCCGGTGTCTCCAGTGTCTCCAGGCCACGGGCACTGCCAACTACCTCCATCACCTCTGACCTACGTGGGCGACAAGGCCAGCCCTCCCCACCCCCATCACCTCTGACCCACGGGGGCGACAAGGCCAGCCCTCCCCACCCCCATCACCTCTGACCCACGTGGGCAACAAGGCCAGCCCTCCCCACCCCACAAGGAAACCAGATGCCCCCCTGCTCCCACCCTGTGGCCTGAGCTGTGTGGGGAAGGGACGGGCTGGCGTTCACCTGTCCTTGAGGTCTGATCGGGGGGCCCAGCAGCAGCAGGCACAGCAGGCAAGGCCCAGGAAGAGCAGCAGCAGAGGCACAAGGCTGCCCGCGATGAGGGCAGTGTCCCGACTGCCAGAGCCTGGGGGAGCCAGAAACGGGGGATATTCAGGCCTTCCTGTCTCCTACACATCCTGTCTTTGCTCTGAGTTGCCTGCTACCCAGAAGCTTCTTCCTGGGGGTCACTCCCTGCCTCCGGGCAGCCCCTCTGCTGGCGTGTCCCCTCCACAGGTTCTTGCCCCTGAGGCCATGTCAGTGTCCAGCCACCCCGCTGCCCATTTCACGGCTCTAGCCTGGTTTCGCAGGGGCGGGGGCTCTGTCACATCTTCAGGGGGCCCCAGAGCATCCACACAGAGCTCAGGTATAAAGAATGTCTCTGGGCCGGGCACAGTGGCTCACGTCTGTAATCCCAGCACTTTGGGAGGCCGAGGTGGGCAGATCACCTGAGGTCAGGAGCTTGAGACCAGCCTGGCCAACATGGTGAAACCCTGTCTCTACTAAAATATAAAAATTAGCCAGGCATGGAGGCGTGCGCCTGTAATCCCAGCTACTCGAGAGGCTGAGATGGGAGAATGGCTTGAACCTGGGAGGTGGAGGTTGCAGTGAGCTGACATCACACCACTGCACTCTGGCCTGGGTGACAGAGCAAGACCTCGTCTTAAGGGAAAAAAAAAAAAAAAAAAGAATATCTCTGAAGTGGGCCCAGACTCCCTGGTGAGGAACTTGCCCTGGAGCCCATGTGAAGGGCCCGCCTTTCCCTGGCTACTGCACCCCGCAGCCTTCTTCCACCTTACCTGGCTGGCAGGACCCAGAGACAGGGTGGCAGAGTCCCTCTGGGCATTCACAAGGAACTGAGCAGTTGTTTCCATGGAAACCGGCTGGGCAGGAGGCGTTGCAGCTATGGAGTGACATGGAGAGGCAGGCTGAGGGCTGGGTGAAGTGGGGGAGGCAGGCAGGAGACGGGCAGGGAGATTTCTGGGCACTGTCCAGGGAAGTTCAGGAAATGCTGCACAGAGCCCTGACCTAGGCCCCTGGCACTCTCCCGCCCCCGGGATCCCCATCCTTACCTGGGCCCCCAGTAGCCGGCACTGCAGACACAGTCCCCTGTCACAGTATCACAGGACCCCTGAACACAGGTGGGGCAGGTAGAGCCACAGTCTTCCCCAAAGGTACCAGTGGGGCAGGGGTCTTCACACCTGGGGTGAGGCAAGACTCGGGGAAGGGGAGACCAAGGCAGGCCTGGCCCCCACTGTGGGGCCCCACCCCTCCGCCCCACGCTCCTGGACTCAAGGACCCAACTGGCCACTCCTCAGCAGTGAAGCTCAGGTGCAAATAGGGCCTTGAACTTGGGGCCAAATCCAGCAGGTGACAGACTACAAGTCCCCAGAGGGCGAGGAGGGCAGGAAGCCTCAGAGGGGAGGGAGCTGGGATCCTGCCCAGGCCCCCCCAGAACCCACTGCTCTCCCCCAGTCTTCAACAGGAGGGAGGCCCCTGGGGCCGCATGAACCTGTGTGTCGGGGAGGGTGGTGCTCTCGGAGAGAGCCGCTGAGCTGAGGGTCCTGGGGGAAGGTGTACCCCACCCTGAACAGAATGGTGCCCTCACCTGGGCCCCAGCCAGCCAGGGTCACAGCGCTGACAGTGGCCAGTATCTGGCTCACAGGCCTCCCCATGTCGGCAGTGAGGGCACTGCTGTTCGCAGCTCTCGCCAAAGGTGCCAGGCAGGCAGGGCTGCTGGCACTGGGTCCCGTTCCAGCCCGGCTCGCAGGACTCACAGCTGCCTGTGTCTGGAGAGCACGGCTCATTGTGTTTGCAGCGGCCACAGCTGGGAAGAGAAGGGCTTCGTGGGAACAGTGGGGGTGGATGGATGGAGCGCCCACCCCCTCCTACCCCTGTACTCCACGCAGGCCTTCGGGGGCCCTGGAGAGTGTTCGGGTCCCACCTGGGTCAGGCAGGTTTGAGCCTCAGTTTCCCCACGTTGTACAATGAGGACAAATGAGGGCTCTTACAGGATCCCATCCCTTTCCTTCCAGGCATCTGCTCTGTGACCGTCTTTCCCTGGGTCCCAGGACCATCAGGAGCCAGCAGCCCAGCCAGGGCAGGCGAGTCACCACCAAGCTCTGAGTCCCATTTGCGAGGTCTGCCAGGCCTTCCCTCCTGCTCTTTTCACTTTTCCTTTTTCCACACTGAGCCGTCCCCAGGTCTGGCATGAATGGGACTCAGTAGTGTCTTCTACCCCATCACACGAAATGCAAAAAATGTAAAGTGTTTTCACCCAGGGGTCCTCAAACCCTGGGCCATGGACTGGTACTAGTCCGTGGCATGTTAGGAACTGGGCGACAGCGTAGAGATGACCAGCAGGGGAGCCTGACCGCCTGAGCTCCGCTGCCAGCCAGATCAGTGGTGGCCTCAGATTCTCATAGGAGCGCCAGTCCTATTGTGAACTGCGCACGGGAGGGTCCAGGTTCCATGCTCTTTACGAGGATCTAATGCCTGATGATCTGTCACTGTCTCCCATCACCCCCAGATGGGACCCTCGAGCTGCGGGAAAGCAAGCTCAGGGCTCCCACTGATTCTATATTATGGTGAGTCATATTATTATTTCATTATAGATTACAGTGTAATAATAGAAAAATTGTCTGCCATGAAACCAGTCCCTGGTGCCAAAAGGTTGGAGACCACTGTTGTCACCAATATAATTTCACATTTGCCATATCTTAATTTCCCATTGATGCCTAATAGTTACCTGAAGTTTCTCCCTCAGATGCTTAACTAGCTGGGATCATATACTTGGGTCAGACCCATTAGTAGGGGAGAAGAAGGGCAGTTTATAAAAGCCATTTAGCTGATCCTGACCAGCATTTTTATTTCTTATTTTATTTTATTATTATTTTCTTCAAGACTGAGTCTCACTCTGTCGCCCAGGCTGGCGTGCAGTGGCGCGATCTTGGCTCACTGCAACCTCCGCCTCCCGGGTTCAAGTGATTCTCCTGCCTCAGCCTCCCAAGTAGCTGGGATTACAGGCGCCCAACACCATGCCCGGCTAATTTTTGTATTTTTAGTAGAGACGAGGTTTCACCATGTTAGCCAGGCTGGTCTCGAACTCCTGACCTCAGGTGATCCGCCCGCCTCGGCCTCTCAAAGTGCTGGGATTACAGGCGTGAGCCACCGCGCCCAGCCAGGGATGAAATTTCTTACTGTGAGTGCAGCCAGTCAAAGTTTGAAAGCCACTGAGCCCTAAAGGGACCTTGCTCAGGACCCTTGGTCACTCGATCCACTTATTTATTATTTTTTTTGTAAGAAACCATTTTTTTAATTTTCTTTTTTTAAATATATTTATATATATTTTTTTATTATTATACTTTAAGTTTTAGGGTACATGTGCACATTGTGCAGGTTAGTTACATACGTATACATGTGCCATGTTGGTGTGCTGCACCCACTAGCTCGTCATCTAGCATTAAGTATATCTGCCAATGCTATCCCTCCCCCCTCCCCCCACCCCACAACAGTCCCCAGAGTGTGATATTCCCCTTCCTGTGTCCATGTGATTCCATTGTTCAACTCCCACCTATGAGTGAGAATATGCGGTGTTTGGTTTTTTGTTCTCGCGATAGTTTACTGAGAATGATGATTTCCAATTTCTTCCATGTCCCTACAAAGGACATGAACTCATCATTTTTTATGGCTGCATAGTATTCCATGGTGTATATGTGCCACATTTTCTTAACCCAGTCTATCATTGTTGGACTCGATCCACTTATTACCTACATATGGCTTGCTAGCAGTGCTAGTATATTTTGCACAGCAGTAATCAATGAAATGAGCAGGTGAGGCTGGACCTGGGGCAACAAAGCGTTTTTAAAAGTTTTTGTTTTGTTTTGTTTGAGACGGAGTCTTGCTCTCTGGCCCAGGCTGGAGTGCAGTGGTGCGACCTCGGCTCACTGCAACCTCCGCCTCCAGGGCTCAAGCGATTCTCCTGTCTCAGCCTACCGAATACCTGGGACTACAGGCGCAGCCCGGCTAATTTTTGTGTTTTTAGTAGAGACGAGGTTTCAGCATGTTGGCCAGGATGGTCTCGAACTCCTGACCTCAGGTGATGCACCCGCCTCAGCCTCCCAAAGTGCTGGGATTACAGGTGTGAGCCACCCCACCTATCCGACTTTTCCCCTTTCTCGTTCCTCTGCTTTGTATGTTTTTTGAGAGGAGCACCGCGAAGCCCTGACCCCTCCTCCCGGCGCCCCGCCGCGGCCACCTGTCTCCGCTCCGCCCCGCCCGCTCACAGGTCTCCGCGCAGCCTCGCTCACCTGTGTCCGCCTCCGCCCCCTCCCCCGACCGCTCACCTGTGCCCGCCCCGCCCCCACCCTGCCCGCTCACCAGTTTCCACCCCGCCCCCTCCCCGCCCACCGGTGTCCGCCCCGCCCACCGGTGCCCGCCCCGCCCACCGGTGTCCGCCCCGCCCACCGGTGTCCGCCCCGCCCACCTGTCTTCGCCCCGCCCCCTGTCTCCGCCCCGCCCCCCTGTCTCCGCCCCGCCCCGCCTGCTCACTTGTGTCCGCCCCCGCCCCGCCAGCCCACCTGTCCCCGCCCCGCCCGCTCACCTGTGTGCGCACTGCACCCCGTGGCTGCCTGCCGGGCAGGGCAGCTCGCAGCGCGCTCCGCGGAAGCCGGGCGGGCAGGTGCACTCGCCGGAGGCGGCGCTGCAGCGGCCCCGCACACACTCGCACTGCTGCTGGCATTCGGGACCCCACCAGCCCGGCCGGCAGGCGCAGCGGCCGGAGTCCTGCTCGCACGGGGAGCCGTGGCAGTTGCAGCGGAAGCTGCAGCGGCGCCCCCACCAGCCCGGCTTGCACACGCAGGCGCCCGTGGCCTGCTCGCAGCGCGCCGCCGCGGTGTTGCACTGGCACGGGCGGCGGCACGTGGACGACCACCAGCCGGGTTCGCAGTGGCACACGCCGGTCGCGGGGTCGCAGCGCCCGTGGGGGCCGCAGGCGCACGGGAACTCGCAGCGGGCTCCCCAGCGGTCGGCCTGGCACTGGCACGCGCCCGTGGCTGGCTCGCACTGGCCGTGCGGGTGGCAGGGGCAGCTCTCACGGCAGTCGGGGCCCCAGTACTGGCCCGGGCAGCCTGCGGGGGTGGGGACGGGAGGGGTCAGCGGGCTCAGGGCCGCGCGCAGACCCTTACCCTGCGTCCCCTTCCTCAAGGAAAAGGGGCGCTGGGCCCATCCTCCAAGAGCCGGGGACAGACCCTCAGAACATCCGGCAGCCTGTCCTGGGCAACACTCACTTCCTGCTCCGCTCTGACCTACAGAAAACCCTTAGCCATTAGTGGGAGGCTCAGCCTGCCACTTCACATTCCAGAACACACTCAGAGATCCTGAGTGGGCAGGGGACTTGCCCAGAGCGTGGCACCGAGGTTGGTGGGCCTTCCTCCATGCCTGCTCCTCCCTGCCGAGATGGATCTCTGCTGGGCTGGAGGAGAGCTGGCTTTCTCCTGATCTCAGGCCTGGATACTGCCCGCCAGGGTGTCGGGAGAAGCCACCTTTCCCCTAGTGATTCCTTGATTCCTGATGCCCACCCTCTGGCTCTCCTGCTTCCCAACCCCTTTCCCTTCCCTCTCTTTCTGCCAGAGAGGGCAGAGAGCCCAGCCAGGGGCCCCCTTCCATCCACTGCCCATGTATAAGGTATATGTGGGAAAGGCAAGTAATACACTCATTTTACAATGAAGGGGAATCACAGGTTTTCTGAGAAGTGGAAGAGGAAGATGCTCAGGTGGGCAGTGCTTTGTGGATGTGGGTAAAAACCCGGTGACTCAGGTCATCTCCCGGGAGTGTGTGTCACTTCCTGTCTCTGGACCGCAATTCCTCAGTGAAGCTGGGGGGGATTCTGGCCCTGCTGTCCTGAGGCTGCATGGCTACCTGCCTCGCCTGCTCCCACACCACTGCCCCCGTACCCAGCTCTGCCCAGCAACTTCATCTGGCCCTTGAGACTCACGGGAGCTGCAGTGGGCCCCAAAGAATCCAGGCTTGCATCGACAGAGGCCCGGCTTCACACACACCTCGTCTTTCTGGCAGGCGTCCGGCCCCTCACAGATGGCTGAAAGACACCCCACCCAGGTTGGAAAGACGGGAGCAGGACCAGGGGACACCCCTGCCCTCTCACTGGCTCCAGGGGCCATGCCTCCTCAAGAGGTGCCCCTTCAGGCCTGGGGGTGCGTCACAGGAGAAACCCTGACTCCTGGTATCAGGAGGGGCAGGCCCCATGGGGTAGGAAGGAAGGGTTGTCACTGGGCTACGGCCTCCCTTCTCCTTGGCTGAGGGTCTGTCCTGGCTACTCACGGATGGTGCATTCTTGATCCTTCTGCCTCCAGCCTGCGCAGCACTGCAGCTCAGCAGAGGGGCTGTGGGGCAAAAAGGGGTCAGCCGGACATGGTGGGGGGTGCAGCCTGGCCCTGAGGAAGGTGGATCACTGTCTCTGGCTGCAGTGGGGGAGGCTGCCTTAGCCCCCTGGGGAGGCCTAATGGATCTTTACAGCTAGGGTCCCCAGCCCCTCCCCTCTCCTTCCCTGACCCTTCCACCATCTGCCCTGGCTGGCCACTACCTGCCAGACCGCCATCAGCAGTCCCTTCCTTTCAGCCTAAGCCCCCTTCCTAGTCTCCTCCTTCCCCTAACGGCCTCAACACCGGTTCAGCCACCCGCATCAGACTCCCACGAGACCCACCTGCTGGCCACACGCATCAGACTCCCACGAGACCCACCTGCTGGCCACACAGACGTGCTGCCCTTTGGGGTCCAGCTCGGACCCCTGAGTCCCCCGAGTCCAGAGCAGCAGCAGCGGGAGCAGCAGCCCCAGCCCCATGGCAGGCAGCTCGGTGGGAGCGCTCGGGTTCGTCTGGCCCCCACAGCTCCCAACCCCCTCCCTGCTTCCTCTCAGGGCTTTTCCTGAGGAAACCAGGCCGGAGGGGCGGGCTGCCACGAGGCACCTCCCTGAGAGGGAGGGGGTGGCTGGAAAGACTGACACTCAAAAAAAGAAAGGGAAAGAAAGGCAATGGCAGGGCTGACTGGCCTGGGCCTGGAAGGGCCAGAAGAATGAAGTTGCAGGTCCCTGGGTGCCGGGGCCAGGGAAGGGGGTGGACTGAGGCTGGGAGCCACGGCTTTCCATCAGGCCACACTCCCAAAGCAAGGCCTGAGCTGCAAGAAGCCACCCCACCCAGTGACTGAGCAAGGAGACCAGCGAGGACCCCTCAGCCTGCCTCTGCTCCTGGCAGGGTTGGGAGGTGGCACAGACATGGACAGACAGGCGAGGAACAGTTTCTGTGTATTACGGGCAGTTCTTTATTACATGAGCTCAGGCCGTCTGCACAAAGCCCTGGGAGCTAGGCAGTCAGCTCTCATTTCATGGATGGGGAAACTGAGACTCAGAGAGGCACTCTTATATCTGGCCCCAGAGGCTCGGTACAGAGACGTAGAGAGGGAGGCGGGCTGAGACCCCGTCCTGCCCTGATGCAGGCCAGGATTGGGGCAGACCCCTGGCGAGGGCTGTGAAGGCGGGAGCCCTGTCCTCATTTGAGGCCACACATCCTTCCACAGCCAGACCCCTAAGTCAGGCCTCTGGGGCGGCTGAGGCCCCCAGACAAAGGTGTTCGTGGAGGGCAGAACAGGGCGGATCAGGAGCTGGAGACTGTGGTTGGGCCTCCTCTTCTCCCCCTAGCTTGCTGGGTGCAGGGCTGCTGGTCTCATCCTCAGAGGATTCAGCTTTACCCCGATACCATAGGCCAAAGCTGGAGAGAGACAGCCAGAGGCACTTTGAGCCAGGAAGCCAGAGAGGTCAAGGATATGGGTGAGGGCAGGGGATGGTGAGAAAAGGGGAGAGGGGGAAGAAAGGGCAGCCTGAGGGAGTGTGAAGGTGATGGGGGCCAGGGCCAGAGAAGCAGGAGGGGACGGTGTGCTTAGAGCCAAGCACAGCAGGGTGACGGGCAGAGAAGCGGGAAAGGGGATCCTGAGAAGGACCAGCCAGGGCCCTTCCTCCCTCCCCACACTCTTGCCTTTCCCCTTTCCCCAACATACAAACTCTGTATTTTGGACTCCGGGGGTGGGGGATGGTCTCCCTTGTCATCGGAGAGCAGGATCCATGGGCCAGCCTCATCCTCACTGAGACAGAGGAGAGAGGAGAAGTGAGGGCCATTGATCAAGGCCCTGAGGGACAACAGGAATCCAGCAGGGGGGATGGAGGGACTGCAGGGCCCCCGGGGCTGGAGAGAAGGCAACCCTGGGGAGATGCAGGATGTCGAGCCTTTAATTTTTAATTTTTTTTTTTTTGAGACAGGGTCTCACTCTGTCGCCCAGGCTGGAGTGCAGTGGTGCGATCTCAGCTCACTGCAACCTCCGCCTCCCAAGTTCAAGCGATTCTCCTGCCGCAGCCTCCTGAGTAGCTGGGATTATAGGCACATGCCACCATGCCCGGCTAATTTTTGTATTTTTAGTAGAGACGGAGTTTCACCATGTTGGCCACGCTGGTCTCGAACTCCTGACCTCAGGTGATCTACCCACCTTAGCCTCTCAAAGTGCTGGGATTACAGGCGTGAGCCACCGCGCCCTGCCAAGGGTTTATTTTATAGCTTGACACACAGCAGGCCCTGACACAGCCGCGGCTACAGTTTCACCCCCGTAAGAATAAACAGACCCAGCCAAGACAGGAACTTGAAGAATGAATGTGGAGAGGCAGTGTTGTCAGGCAGAATGGATGGCAGGCAAGGCAAGGGGAGTGGTGAGATCCAGGGAGAAGGGCGCAGGCTGGACAGCGGCCATGGGACACAGCCAGAGCAGGTCAGCAGGCCCTAGAAGCGGCCAGGCTAGGGAGGCTCAAGGGGTGACCGGGTTGGGGTGACAGCCTCAGTCTGAGACAATGGGCTCAGAGGGTGACCAGGCTGGGTCATCAGGCTCAGCAGAATGAGGGAGGGAGGCCTGGCTCCGTGGGAATGCAGGCAGGGACCTACCTGCTCTCTGCTTCCTCTGGTGTCCCTAACATCTTGGCCTTGATCTTCTTCCGCTGCTTCCGGACAGCCACCTTCATGGCCTCGAGCAGAAGGCCGGGGACCCGGTGGTCTGTGAGCAGCTCCCTAAAGAAAAGGGGCAGGGAGGGAGAAAGCCCTGGTGATGCCAGCCATGGGGATGCCAGCAGTGGAGATGCCAGCCGCAGTCCTCACTCCTGGTACCTGTGCACGCAGCTCTTCCCTGAACACGGGAAGCGCTCTGCCTTGCTGACACCCTCAGACCTTAAATTAGGTGGCCCCGTGGCCCCCTCCTAGGAGAGATTCCCTGGCTGCTGCAGCTGCAACCCTTTGTACTGTCCCTCTCCCCTGTCTGGATGACATTGCAGGAGGGCAAGGGCTGTACAATTCATGTCCTCCCAGTTCCCAGCGCAGGCCTGGCACATGTCACTGTGGACATGTCAATGACTGGAGAATGAGGTGGGGTGATCGGAGGCCCCCCGGCTTCCCAGCGTCCTCACCGCTGGAAGTAGGCCAGTTCCTCCTTGAGCAGGAACACTTTGGCTTTGAGTTCATTCCGCTCCTGAAGGATCTGCTCAAACTCCTCCCGACTGAAGCGGCACTGCCCTGCCTCCGAGGGGCGCCCGAGCTGCTGCGCGGCCTCCGCCTTTGGAAGGACAGGCACAGTCAGAGGGTCGCCTCGGCTGGCGTTCCCCCGCCCCAGGGCCATCATGGGAATGCTAGAGGAAGTGACGGGCCGGGAGACTTGGGGGACAAGGGTGCCCTAACAGATAACAGAGCAGTGCTCCAGCTGAGAGCGGGGGCCGAGGCCGGCCGGGGGCGCAGATCTGTCTGCCACCTCCCCGCTTCCTGGCCGACCTGCTGTGCAGCATGCAAACCTTGCTTGAGTGCCCACCGAGGGCTGGACGCTGCGTCCTGGGCTGGGTCCTTGCCCTCATACGGCACTCACCGGGTCCTCAGGGTTCCCTGGGGCGCCTGCGCCGGCGGTCGCCCATTCGGGCTCCTGTCCGTGCTGGTGCCCGGGCCGCCCGGCCTGCCCCCGCGCTCGCTCTTTAGCCTGCGGAGTCGCGGCTTCGCCAGGCTGCTGGCGCTCCCTCTCGCGGTCCTGCGCGGCGCGCAGCTGGGTCTGCATGGCCGCCAGCTTGTGCCGCAGCTCAGCGTTCACCAGCAGGAGGCGCTGCAGCTGCTCCTGCAACTGGGAGCGGAGCAAAGGGTGGGGTGGGCGGGGCACCGAGGGCCCCCCGGAGCCCCGCCCAGCGCCTGCCTCGCTCCGCCCCCGCCCCCGGAGCCCCGCCCAGCGCCTGCCACGCTCCGCCCCCGCCCCGCCCCAGAGCCCCGCCCCGCCCTCACCGCCTCGGTCTCCTGGCCGCGCTGCCGCAGGTCGCGGTTGTGCGCCCGGAGTTCGTCCCGCTGTCGGTCCGTGACCTCCTTGAGCTGCCGCAGCAGCGCGCGCTCCTCTGAGGAAGGGGCGTTCTTAGCGGCGGCGGCGCGCGGCCCGCGGGAGGGAGGGGAGGACCCGAGCAGGTCGTCACCCGCCCTGCCCTGGCCGGGGCTGCGCTTACCCTGTGGCCCCGCGCGCAGCTCCCTGCGGAGGCGCTCGTTCTCCTCCCGCAGCCGCCGCAGCTCCTGCTCCGCCGGCTGCGCCGACACCTGCAGCTGGGGAGACCCGGGTCTCAGGCTTCGGCCCTGCCGGCCCCGTGGGTGGCGAAGGGAGGGCCATGACTCACCGAGTCCGGGGCGGGCCCCACGGCAGCCTGTTCCAAGAGCTCCAGCGCCCGCACCACTAGCGGCACCAGCCCGGCCGCCGCCTCCGGCCCGAAACGGCGCGCCAGATCCTGCAGCTCAGTGCCCAGGGCCCCGGCTAGATGGTACACAAGCTCCGCGGCCGATGCCGACCCCGCGGCCTCCCGAGACCCCCAGCCAGGCACCCCGGGCGCCGCCCTCCTGGGCTCCATGTCTCCCAGAGGCTTAGGGCTGCGACCCCCCCACCCCACCCTCCACTGGGACGGGGAAAAGCGAAACAGTTCCGCCCCAGGAAGCCGTTTAGGGCGGTGTGGGCGGGGTAGAAGCGATAAGGGTAGGGAGGAACGAGGAAGGGAGAAGGCGTGGGGTAGGGAGATAGTGCCCTAGGTCGCCTGGGCTCTGTCCTTTCCACCCCCAAGGTCACAGGAAACAAGACAGCCAACTTCCAGCCAGGCGTCCAAGAGCTGAGGTTCAGGGCTGCAAGTGGTCACTTGAGTGGAGCCCTCCCCACAGGCCCAATCCAGGCTCCGCCCGTTTGGAGTCATGGGGCCAACTTGGCAGTGGCCCGCTCCAGGCGAGAGGTGACAGGTAGGCAGCCGGTCTCTGGCCTCCGCCCGGCTGTACACAAACTGCCTGCCTGTGTGCTTGTTTTCCTGACCAGGACTGACACAGAAAGCTTAAAGGGCTGGGCTGGACACCGCAGCCGCTCAGCACAAGCCACAGAGTTCCTAGACCCGGGAAAGGGCAACTGCTCCCAAAACTGTGGAAAGGAGGCGAGAGCTTCCAAGTAGTTTTGTGGAAAAAGCAGCAAATGTGGTCAAGGCAGCGGAGTGTGAAAGCCCAGCCCTGCCTCAGGTCTCCACTGAGTCCAGGGGCTATCTACCCCAAAGCCCTGAATAGGAAGGGGGCCTCATACTCCCCCCTTCACAGCCGAGCCCAGCATCTTGCTGTGAACCGCTCCAGTCCAGCCTCCTGTTAGACCTAAATCCAGAATTTGAGTTTGGGGGGGAAAAAAAAAACAAACCAGCCCCTGAACTCCTATTTATACAAAATTTATTATTATATTTTATTCAGGATGACAAGCCATCAGGAGGTCAACAACACAAGCACAGACAGAGGGAAAGAGGCCAAACTGCTGAATGTCAGCGGCCTGTCTGGAGGGGCTGAGGCTTCGGCCTCGGGAGGCTGAAGCAGGAGGCAGGGAAACGGTCAGGCATACAGGTCCTCCCGATCCGCAGAGTAAACCTCCCCCTCCTGCAGGAGAGCAAAGTTGAGGAAGTGAGAGGGCCTGTGCACCTCGTGGTAGAACTCTTTGGGGTTCGCCAGCTGTAGCTCATATTTCATGTTGGGGTCATGCCGAACACCTTCGGGGAGAAGGAAACAGCCAATGTTAACAGGGCTCCTGCCTCATGCAGCCTGCGCCACCTCCAAGCCAGCCAGGCCCCAAGTGCAAAGGGCGATGGCCTCACCTTATCCCTACTGCTATCCCCACATCCCCAGGCTCCTCCCACTTACCCATGAAGTTGTAGTTCCACGAGGACTGGGCAGGGACCATGAAGAAGCCAAGGAAACGGTCCGACAGCAGCATCTGCACCCTCTCATAGTGTGAAGGCAGGTAGCCCTTGGGGTTGTTGCCCTTGTCTGTGTTCTGGCGGCCCCATTCGTAGCCACTGGGGGTCAGCTTGTAGGCCGTCAGTGTACAGGAGCCTGGCGTGAAGCTGGGGGAGGAACGAGGACAGAGTAACAGCTCAGGCCACTGTTCTGGGCCCTGGCCTGCAATCCCTGCCCCACCATACTTCCTCCCAAGGAGCCCAGGCCCACCTGCATGTGATGATAATGGTCTTCTCGCCATCCCAAGATGGGTTGTCAGCCATGATCTTGGCATGGGTGGTGACATCCTGGGGTGATAACTGCGGGGACTCATTGGGCTGAGTGTGGATCCAACCTAAGGGTTCCATCTCCTATAGGTAAAGAGGAGTACAGAGCTGAATCCCATCCACAGACAGGAATCGCACCAGCTTTTCCACACTCCCAGGCTCCATCACTCCCCATTACCTTGAGGTACTCATGCTGGGGCAGCTGGCCAGGCAGGTGCACGGTCTGGTGAGTGCCCCACTGCGGCACCATCACAATGCAGCGGATCTCCTTCACCTGGGGGTTATCTGGTGGGCTCACCCCATATAGGTATCCTGCAATCTGGAGACAAAGGGGTCAGGAACCAAAACTCTTCTTAGTACCAGGTCAGAGTTGGAGCTGCCAGCCCTCTGTTTCCTTCCTTCCCCCAAGAACGAGGACAGAGTTTCTTAAAACGTGATCAGAACCCCCTGTATCAGAATCAGCTGGGGTGCTTGTTCAAAATGTTAGACATGGACCTCATCGCGGACTTACCACATCAGAATCTCCTGAGTGGGGTCCAGGAATCTGCACTGCTCACAAGCTCCCCAGCTGATTATTAAGCATAGTATTCACAAGCAAATGAGCACACATGCAGCTCAGTGTATTTTCACAAGCTGAAAACATCTGGAAAACCAGCACTTGGTGCTATTTTAAGTTTTACATTATCACCAAGAAAGAAAGAGGATCTGTTTACTATAAACTCACCCACACAGGATATTAACAATCTTTTCAAATTTGCCAACCTGACAGCCACTAAATAGTGGGTTTGAGATGGAGTCTCACTCTGTCAGCAAGGCTGGAGTGCAGTGGTGTGATCTCAGCTCACTGCGACCTCCGCCTCCTGGGTTCAAGCAATTCTCCTGCCTCAGCTTCCTGAGTAGCTGGGACTACAGGCACATGCCACCATGCCCCGCTAATTTTCATATATTTAAGAGAGACGGGGTTTCGCCACGTTGGCCAAGCTGGTCTTGAACTCCTGACCTCAAGTGATTCACCCACCTTGGCCCAAAATGATGTTTTATAAACTATAATATCCCTGATACACTAGTAAAGTTATGCATCTTTTCTCTTTTTTGAAGCAGGGTATCACTCTGTCACCCAGGCTAGCAGGCAGTGACATGATCTCAGCTCACTACACTCACCACCCTCCAGGATCAGGTGATCCTCCCACCTCAGCCTCCTGAGTAGCTGAGATTACAGGTGTATGCCACCATGCCTGGCTAGTTTTTTTTTTTTTTTTTTGTAGAGACTCCATTTCGTCATGTTGCCCAGGCTGGTCTCGAACTCCTGGGCTCAAAAGATCTGCCCACCTCGGCCTCCCACAGTGCTGGGATTACAGTCATGAGCCACTGTGCCCAGCCTGGAGTGCAGTGGGGTCATCAAAGCTCACTGCTTGCGTTCAAGCAACCTCATCCTCCTGAGTAGCTGGGACTACAGCCACGTTTTTTTTGGTTTTGTTTTTTTAGACGGGGTCTTGCTCTGTTGCCCAGGCTGGAGTGCAGTGATGCAATCTTGGCTCACTGCAAGCTCCACCTCACCTCCCGGGTTCAAGCAATTCTCCTGTCTCAACCTCCCTAGTAGCTGCAACTACGGGCGCATGCCACCATGCCTGGCTAATTTTTTGTATTTTTAGTAGAGACAGGGTTTCACCATATTGGTCAGGCTGGTCTCAAACCCCTGACCTCAGGTGATCCACCCACCTAGGCCTCCCAAAGTGCTGGGATTATAGGCATTAGCCACTGTGCCCAGCCGAGTGTTGGGATTACAGGCATGAGCCAGCACGCACACCTGGTCAGGAATTTGTTTCTGACCATATCTGTTCTCTTCCAAATACTATCAGGCCAATACTACAATTACTACCTTCTCTCAGCTGCCACAGCTTTTGCTATCTCATGGGGCCAAAACCCACCTCGTTGTTTTGGCTATCCTTGTATAATTACTCATCCATGAATCTTGAAACCAGCATCTCAAGTTCCAGACAATCTCAGGTCTGAGTTTTAGGCACAAAATGAGTTGGGCACACACTGTGGCCTAGCTGAGTCCACTTACTCACTTGGGCCCGAAGGTCAGATATGCAGATGAACTTCTTAAGCACATTCTTGGGAAGGATGTAGGTGTAGCCAGTCTCCTTGATGTCGTCAGATGAAACATAGATGTGATTGGTCCTTAGGTGCAGGTTGGCAGCAGAGATGGCCCTAAAAACAGGCAGGGAGTGTCAGCATCGCTCAGCCCAGCACCTTAGGTAGTGCAGCCGGCCTTTCCATCCCCACCCTCTTGCCCGACAGTACCTGACCCTCCACTCAGTCTTGGATGAGAAAGTCTGGGTCTCATAGTTGCTGGTGGTGGAGGTGATGATCTCATCGCCATGCTTGTTGACAGTGCGAGTCTGTGTTGCCGTCAGCTGCGATTGTTCCTTGGTCTGCTTCTCGATCTCAGCGATCTGCTGCCGCTGCTGTGACGGTGCCGAGATCTCCATACCCAGGATGATGTCTCGAATTTCTGATTGTGTCAGTGATGCCACGTTCACACTGTGGGGATGGTGTGGGTTATATTACAAGGATCCCTTCCCCTTGGTCACTTCTGCCTCAATGGAAAGGGTGTAACTTGGTAGGACAGGACAGCCTATACTCACGCCCCAGACAATCCACAAGAGCTGCTTCTACAGGAAGTGTGAAACGGAGGTGCACTAACACTTCCAAGATTCGTCAGATCCAAGCGGGACAGCACACTGCGTGTGCACCTTCCCACTGTTTAGCATCCATAAACCCTACGCTTCCTTGACCAAAACAATGCTCTGGCATGGAACTGTTCTCAGAAATGGAAACCCCAGAAACCCTAGAATACTGGTTCTTAATCAGAGGTGGTATTGTCCGTCACCCTATGGATAATTTTGGTTGCCACGATGACAGGGAGGGAGACGAGGGGAGGAAGGTGTGTGTGTGTGTTGGCAGCAGTCTCGGATACTTAGGGTCTCGGATGTTCAAAATTCTTCCCATGTATGGACAGTAAAGAAATGCCCTGTTTGAAATGGCAACAGTGAGAAACAATGGCCAAGAGTCAGACTGAAGCCCTAAAACAGGGATGCTTCCCATACTATTCGAAGACACTGCTGTATCTCTCTTCCTCGAGACTCTGTAAGATAATTTCTTTCCTTGTTTTCAAGACAAGAGTCTCGCTCTGTTACCCAGGCTGGAGTACAGTGGCATCATCATGGCTCACTGCAGCCTCAAACCCCCGGGCTCAAGCAAGCCTCCTGCCTCAGCCTCCAAGAAGCTGGGACTACAAGCGTGTACCACCACACCTGTTTTAAATTTTTTTTTTTTGGTAGAGATGGCGTCAGTCTCTTGTTGATCAGGCTGGTTTCAACTCCTGGCTCATGCAATCCTCCCACCTTGGCCTCCCAAAGTGCTGGTATTACTAGCATGAGCACTCAAGCCTGGCTAAGACAAGATAATTTCTTGAGAAACGTCTTTTTTTTTTTTTTTTTTGGAGACAGTCTCACTCTTGTCGCCCAGGCTGGAGTGCAGTGGCATGATCTCGGCTCACTGCAACCTCTGCCCCCAGGTTCAAGCAATTCTCCTGCCTCAGCCTCCCGAGTAGCTGGGATTACAGGTAGGCGCCATCGCACCCGGCTAACTTTTGTATTTTTAGTAGAGACGGAGTTTCACCACGTTGGCCAGGATGGTTTCAAACTCCTGACCTCAAATGATCTACCCACCTTGGCCTCCCAAAGTGCTGGGATTACAGGCATGAGCCACCGCGCCTGGCCTTCTTGAGAAACTTCTAAGCCTAAGTGCTTCCAAAAAACCCCAGAAAACCGTATATAGACCTCCTGTCTGTGTCCCCACCAGCACTGCTCACTTGTTTTTCTTGCCGTAGTCAGCCAAGATCAGATCCTTGAGCTGCACCTCGACCTTGATCCATTCTTCGTCAGTCAGAGTGGGCCAGATGTGGTGTGGTTCTGTAATAGTAGTCTTGTCTGGCTTCAGGATCACTTTTGCCCGATCGTTGTTCACATGTAGGGCACGCAGAATCAGGATGAGACGGGAGAAGGCCTGGGAAAAGATTTGGAAGAGTGGGGTAGGTCAGCTGCTTGAGGCTCTCCCACTTTAATCCTAACCTTTCATGAAACCCAAGAATTTTTTTTTTTTCTTTTGAGACAGAGTCTTGCTCTGTCGCCCAGGCTGGAGTGCAGTGGCATGATCTCGGCTCACTGCAAGCTCCGCCTCCCAGGTTCATACCATTCTCCTGCCTCAGCCTCCCGAATAGCTGGGATGACAGGCACCTGCCACCACGCCCGGCTAATTTTTTGTATTTTTAGTAGAGATGGGGTTTCACTGTGTTAGCCAGGATGGTCTCAATCTCCTGACCTCGTGATCCGCCGCCTCGGCCTCCCAAAGTGCTGGGATTACAGGCGTGAGCCACTGCGCCCGGCCTTTTTTTTTTTTTTTTTAGACAGTCTTACTCTGTCGCCCAGGCTGGAGTGCAATGGTGCCATCTCGGCTCACTGCAACCTCTGCCTCCTGGGTTCCAGTGATTCTGGTGCCTCAGCCTCCCGAGTAGCTGGGACTACAGGTGCATCCCAGCACACTCGGCTAATTTTGTTGTATTTTTAGTAGAGATGGGGTCTCGTCATGTTGGCCAGCCTGATCTCAAACTCCTGACCTCAGGTGATTCACCCAACTCAGCCTCCCAAAGTGCTGGGATTACGGGCGTGAGCCACCACGCCCGGCCCCAAGAGTTGATTTTTAACTTTAAGGTCTTAAACTCTCATGAAAGTCAACAGAGTTCCCACCCAATCTATAGGCTAAAAATGTGAAAATGGCAAAAACCTGACACAGGATCTTCTCCTAACCCTAAACCCGCTCCTCCTCCAGCGATCTTCTCTTCCCGAGGTTCATACCGTGTAAGATGAAATAGTCTTGAGCCAGTCGTCATAGAGGTTGAAGAGAACCATCTGGGGCTCAGTGGCTTTAAGGATGAGATCCCCGAATTTTTCCACCTTGAGACACGCCTGGAAAGGGAGTTGGAGCTCCGATCCTTTGATGACAATATTGGGGAAGTCCAGTAAGTGCACCTAAGACAAGATCAAGTCCAAGATGAGAAACAGCCTGAAGGTCTCAAGGTCTCTTTTCTCCTACCCCACCCCACCCTCTTACCTCCAGTGGGTCCAGCATGCCCTTCCTGGTGACAATGATCTGCTTGGGCTGCTCCTCCACAGGCAGAGATCGGATCAGGGCGGCCACCTCCTCAGCTGTCTTCCACTTAGCCAACTTAAAAGCAAGAGAGAAGAAAATGGAAATTTAGTCTCTACCCTCCCAGATCAACTAGAACAGAATATCCTAGTTTTGAAATAATCCAACTACGTTTCTATTGAACACTGATGTTAAATGTTAGGCACTTAGAAGGTACAAAGAGTATCAAATGGCCGTGTCCAATGACCAGGCTGACAGCCCCTTTCAACAAGACAATACCACAAGCTGACACATGAGTATGTGCTAAACTATACACTGTTTTACAGAGTTCAGGAACAAAAGAAATTAAGGCTACTAGGATCAGAAAAAAGCTGCACAAAAAAACGTGTCTTAAGGAGGGACTGTGATTAACAGAGCAAAGAGGGGAGTTCATTCTAGAAAGAAAAATACAAGCAAAACACAGATTTGGAGATGAGCATCAGGGGTTTGGGCTACTAAGATCCTGGACTGAATGTAAGATGAAACATGCTATAAATGTAAAGGAAGAGAAACTGGCTGGACAGATACAGCCCAGCCAGATGTTGAACGTCTAGGAAGCTAAAGAAGAGTTAATTCAGCAAGAGTTGTGAGGTAGAGAAGAGATTTGGTCAAAGTGGATGTTTCAAGAATATGCGTTGCTGGGCCGGGCACGGTGGCTCAAGCCTGTAATCCCAGCACTTTGAGAGGCCAAGGCGGGCGGATCACGAGGTCAGGAGATTGAGACCATCCTGGCCAACATGGTGAAACCCCGTCTCTACTAAAAATACAAAAAATTTAGCCGGGCGTGGTGGCGGGCACCTGTAGTCCCAGCTACTCGGGAGGCTGAGGCAGGAGAATGGCGTGAACCTGGGAGGCGGAGCTTGCAGTGAGCTGAAATCAGGCCACTGCATTCCAGCCTGGGCAACAGAGCAAGACTCCGTCTCAAAAAAAAAAAAAAAAAAAGAGAATATGCATTGCTGGCCAGGAGCAGTGGCTCACACCTGTAATCCGAGCACTTTGGGAGGCAGAGGCAGAGGCAGGCAGATCACAAAGTCAGGAGATCGAGACCATCCTGGCTAACACGTTGAAACCCTGTCTCTACTAAAAAATACAAAAAAAATTAGCCAGGCGTGGTGGCGGGCGCCTGTAGTCCCAGCTACTCGGGAGGCTAAGGCAGGAGAATGGCGTGAACCCGGGAGGCGGAGCTTGCAGTGAACCGAGATTGAGCCACTGTGCTCCAGCCTGGGCCACACAGCGAGACTCCGGCTAAAAAAAAAAAAAAAAAAAAAGAGTATGCGTTGCCTTTGGAAAAATGATTTTTGATAGCCCTGTTCAAGGTTAGAAATTCAGGAAACAGACCAGCTGGAAGGGAACGAAGCACCTCATACACTCTTGGACCTCCCACAGAATACTTCCCAAGGTATTTTGGGGATAAGTTCAAATGAGATGTTCTCAGCCTTTCATCTAATAAACCAGTAAATATTACCAAGTCCACCCCAAGAATAAGAGGCAACATGGTTCTACAGCCTCTTCATCTTTAAACCTGCTCACCTGCCCCAAACGCTTCTGTCCCGCCCACACGGACGTGTGGATTATCTTGAGGAACAGCTGCCCTGTGCGTGGGTTGAAGATGAAGATGGCTCCGTTGATGGGCTTGGTTGTCAAGTTCCCTTCAAAGGTCTAGAGGAGGACGGCATTCGTTAGCATGGCCTACACAACACATCCCCATCCTGCCTTCTTCCCAGCATGTGTACACACTTAGCCCATTACTCTCCCACAGCCATGTACAGAGTCCCGCACCTATACACTGCTGCTAACACTCACCTTGTGAATAGTCACTCTGTAGACGTTGGTGTCATCCACAAACCAGATAATCTGGTTGGAGAAGAGCTCACCATAGTTCTGAGAAGACAAATAAGGCTCAGTGGGTTCAGATGAATAGAGCTGTAGCCCCTTGCGGATCCGTTCACGTAACACATACAGGGCAGGGTTTGCCTTCATGATCTTGGCCATGGCCTGTTGTATGAGAGGCTTGCTGCCTGGGAACCAGTTTCCATAGGCACTGTGAGGATAAAAGGGTCAAGAAAAGTTAAGACGAGAATGACAGCCCCAGAAACAAGACAAGCTGCCAACTCTACAGAGGAAGAAAGACTGTTCGCCAGGCTGACAACACTCTGCTCATGTGTACATACAGGCTGGAGAAGAGAATCAGTGACCCATAGGAGGAATGGGCCACTTCCTCTCACTTAGGTAAAGTAAAAAAGTATGACTACGTTAAAGTATGGAGCTAATGGAAAATACACGGATTATTTATTTATTTATTATTATTATTATTTTTCTTTGAGATGGAGTCTCACTCTGTCGCCCAGGCTGGAGTGCAGTGGCGCAATCTCGGTTCACTGCAAGCTCCGCCTCCCGGGTTCAAGTAATTCTCCCACCTCAACCTTCTGAGTAGCTGGGACTACAGGCGTGGACCACCACGCCCAGCTAATTTTTTGTATTTTGGTAGAGACAGGGTTTCACCATGTTGCCCAGACTGGTCTCAAACTCCTGAGCTCAGACAATCTGCCCACCGCGGCCTCCCAAAGTGCTGGGATTACAGGTGTGAGCCACTGCGCCTGGCCTGAAAATACATGGTCCTGAGCCTCAACTCACCTGTGCAAGTTATAGGCCAGGTCAATGGCGATGAGTACACCTGTGGGCGAAGGGTAGATACTCATGTTGTCGGTGGTGTAGTCCAGGAACTTGGCCCGGGCGTAGCGCTCAATGTCGTGGGAATCATAGTCCCCCCAGCGCAACTGGATGTCAATCCAGTATTTCTGGGTGGTGGTGCTGTCCATCACATCCCTGAGGATGAAGAGGGTTCAAGCTTCTAAGAAACCATGGGCATAACCAATGTCCCCAGAACCAGAACCACTTAAATCCCAAAACCATCCCACCCACTCCACCAACTTGTTCCAGGTCAGCAGGACCCCAGAGAATCAGCAGATCTGACTAAGGGTGTTGACAGGCTCCAAGCGTAGCACTGGCTCCAAGTTTGAAACAAAGGCAGACAGGACAATTCCTAAAGTTGCAGGGCTAGAAGAACAGGAAAACGAAAGTGTCCTGGCTGCCTAGGGCTGGGTCCTGAGGCACTTACTTGGAGTCAGCCAGCAATGAGGGCCGGGAGACATTCCACTTATAGGAGGCAAAGAGCAGGATATCTGCACAGGAAGAGTTCATCTTATATGACTTTCGGGGATGGATTGTCTCCTTTTGTACTGTCTCAATTTCCAGTGCATCAAGTTCCTGGTCAAACACCTGAAGGAAAACATGGAGAGATTAAGACTTGTTAAGGAAGCCCAATTAAAATCAGAGTTTGTACAATAAGATAATGAGGCAATAGGAGTCTCATCCTCAGAGCTTCCAGGGTGGATTTCCCATATGCAAAAGAGCAAGCTGAGCTGACTCTGTACAGCACGCTCTCCCCGCGATTCCACCTGAGCTGACTCTGTACAGCACCCTCTCCCCGCGATTCCACCTAAGCTGACTCTGTACAGCACCCTCTCCCTGCGATTCCACCTGAGCTGACTCTCTACAGTACCCTCTCCCCACGATTCCACCTGAGCTGACTCTGTACAGTACCCTCTCCCCTCGATTCCACCTGAGCTGACTCTGTACAGTACCCTCTCCCCTCAATTCCACCTGAGCTGACTCTCTACAGTACCCTCTCCCCTCGATTCCAGCCCACCTGACATAAGTCCATAACAATGCTCTCATGGATCTTCTGCCACAAGTGAGCTCGGAAGATCTGGATGAGAGAGATCTTCAGCGTGGGGATCTTGCCGTGCATGAAGATACCCGTCAGGTCTAGCTGCACCTGAAAGCCTACATATACCTGCCAGGAAAACGACAATGTGACATTAGAGATCAAGAGACTCGGGCGCTCACGACATAACCAAGGCAAGAAGCAGCAACTGTCTTTAGCTTCCCCTCTCCAGTGTCAATCACACTCACATTGGCTCGATTAATGGTCGGGGACCACCAGAGGGTGAATCTACGATTGGGAATCTGGTTCAGTCCTGATCGCTGAGCATTAGTTAGCTTCTTCCACTTCATAGATTCCTCAAAGCCACTGGCCTTCTCCCTGGGGAGCAAGAGAAGCAGGTGAGGTGATATCCTGCCATTTCCCAGCACACTGCTAACCTCCTGGAGGTGGCTGTCTGGGAAACACCACAGGAAATCACAGAGGCATACAAGAGATGAGCTCAAAGGGTTGTGACAGGTCCCTCTAAGAGAGGAGAATCCTCACCAGAAAAGCCCCTCCCAGGTAGGGAAGTAAGTGCCCTTAAAGAGTGTGTGTTCCAGAATGCCTTCCACACCGCCCAGGGCCTGGATCATGTCTGTACGGTAGTTGTTCAGGTTCCAGAGCTTCCCATCATGCCGCTGGTGTGTCCACCAGAACGGATTCTGCTTCAAAACCTAGATGGCAAGGCAGGCACGGTCAAGCTTCTGGGTGCCTATTGCCCCAAGTTTCGGGGATAGCCATGGATTTTCCTGACTCAGGGAAAATCTGCTCCCTCTACATACCTGATACTGCTTAAAGTCAGTTCTGACACGCCAGCCCTTATCATAAGCCAGTGTGTGCCGGTCCTTCTGGAAGAGGGTATTGATTCGAGGAATGCCACGATCCCATGAATCTTCTAGGTCTTCTAAAGTCAGGCGTCTTCCAAAAAAAGAAAGATTCAAGTCAAAACGTGATCTCATATGAGGAGCTCAGCACTCCTTCCTGGCCAAAAATAATTAGGGTCAGTAGAACCAGCCTTCTCACCTCCATACAACCATGGCATGCTCTGACCCTGAACTCCACACGGTTCAAAGGCCACCACTGCCCCTGCCCCAGGGTTGGCATGCCCTCCTAGGTGCCCACCTGTTCTGAGCAATGGCCTCTTGCCTCTTGAGTGCGTACTCAGCCCAGACCCGCTGAGAATCAATGAACTCGCTCTCCCATGGCTGTATGTAGCGGTACAAGTTGGGAATGAGCTGGTCTTCTTCATGGCTCATTCCTGAACGAAAGTGTGTGATACCTACATCTGTCTGTTTGGACCACCTGTTTGGGTGTACAACCAAGATTACAGAAAAAATAAAGCCTAAAACTAAAGAAATACCCACTTCCCTTAGGGCCTGAGCAATAGGGTTTAGAAATACGTTGAACCAGGCTGTACCTGAGGTCGGATTGGGGGATGAGCACATGGCCCATTGAGAGCATGCCGAGTCCACCCAACTCCTTAGGGGTGTAGAACACAACCGGGGGGAACCGACTTGGCATCTTGGAGTTGAGTCCAATCTTGATACGTGTCTGGATTTTGTTCTCACACTTCACCAGTAAGTCCAAGAGCTCTTGGGTGTTCACCACAGCCTCCCGAAAGTATGTCATAAGGCCAATGAGAGCTGTATTCCACTTATTCACAATCTAAAGGTAGTAGAAAAAAAAGTAAATTACAGATGAGCCAGGGGCGGGGAGGGTGGAGACTACTTGATGCAGTTAGTTTTATCCCTACTACTAAAGAAAGATTTGAGTTCAACATCATTAGTCACTAGGGAAATAGAAAGCAAAACACAATGAGGCTGGGCGCGATGGCTCATGCCTATAATCCCAGCACTTTGGGAGGCCAAGGTGGGAGGACTGCTTGAGCCCGGGAGTTGGAGACCAGCCTGGCCAACATGGCAAAACCCTGTTTCTACTAAAAATACAAGAATTAGCCGGGTGTGGTGGCAGACGCCTGTAATCCCAGCTACTCAGAAGGCTGAGGCAAGAGAATCGCTTGAACCTGGGAGGTGGAGGTTGCAGTGAGCTGAGATTGTGCCACTGCATTCCAGCCTGGGCAACACAGCGAGACTCCATCTCAGGGGAAAAAAAAAAAAAAATGGTTCCCCTGGGCCAGGTGTGGTGGCTCACGCCTGTCATGCCAGCACTTTGGGAGGCCGAGGTGGGTGGATCACCTGAGGTCAGGAGTTCAAGACCAGCCTGGCCAACATGAAACCGTCTCTACTAAAAATACAGAAATTGAACCCAGGAGGCAGAGGTTGCAGTGAGCTGAGATCGCACCACTGCACTCCAGCCTGGGAGACAGAGCAAGACTGTGTCTCAAAAAAAAAAAAAAGAAAAGAAAAAGAAAAAAAAAAGCACACCAGATGGAGCTATACAAACTAGTGAAGAACACCAGAAATGGTAAGTATGTGGGTAAAATGCAAAAAAATATTTTTTCTCATTTTGCAATTTCTACAAAAGATAAAGGCTGTTCAAAGCAAAAAGAGTAACAAAGTATTATAGCACTTATAATACATGTACAATTAAAATGTTATGACAAAAATACTACTAAGAGTGGGAGTGGAACTTAAAGTGTATTATTCTAAGGTTCTTGTACTATATGTGAAGTGATCCGTAGTAGACTAATGGTCAAAGTAGATCACAGTAAGTGAGCTATGTATATACTGTAAACCTTAGAGCAAACAATAAGAAAAAAACCATGTAGCCAAATAAGTGAAAAGTGGAGATAAAGTCACAAAACAACTAAATTCAGAAGAAGGCAGGACAAGAGAAAAGCAGAAAAAATAATTTAAAAAAAAAAGAGTAAGACGGTAGATTTAAACTGAGCTACATTGCCACATTGATAGTTACATTAACCTTAATTGAGGTATTTAGACCATTTGTAAGGCAAACATTGTCAAATTGGATTTAAATAAAAAGGCCGGGCATGGTGGCTCACACCTGTAATCCCAGCACTCTGGGAGGCTGAGGCGGGCCTCGGGGTCAGGAGTTCGAAACCAGCCTGGACAGCATGGTGAGACCCCCCGTCTCTACTAAAAATACAAAAATTAGCTGAGCGTGGTGGCACGCGCCTGTAGTCTCAGTTTCTTGGGAGGCTGAGGTAGAAGAATCGCTTGAACTCGGGAGGCAGAGGTTGCACTGAGCCAAGATCATGCCACTGCACTCCAGCCTGGGCAACCAAGGAAGAGACTCCATCTCAAAAAAAAAAAAAAAAAAAAAAAAAAAAAGAGCCAACTATATGCTGTCTATAGGAAATAAACTTTAGTTACAAAGACACAGATTAACAGTAAAAAGATGGAAAAATACACCCATGCAAACACAAAACAAAGCTGGAGTGGCACTACTGATTAAGACAAAGACTTCAGACCATGGAATGTTATCAGGAATACAGAGGGATATTTGATACGATAAAGTAGTCAACTCGTTCAGAAGACCTAATAATCCTAAATACATTATGTAACTAATAACAGAATTTCAAAAATGATGGACCTGAAAGACAATAAACTCACAGCTGTAGTTGGATCTTTCTCTCAAGCAAGACAGGGTCTTGCTCTGTTGCCCAGGCTAGAGTGCAATGGCACCATCTCCACTCATTGCAGCCTCCACCTCCCAGGCTCAGGAGACTCTCCCGCCTCAGCCTCCCAAGCACCTGGGACTACAGGCGTGTACCACCACACCCAGCTAATTTTTGTATTTTTTTTGTAGAAATGGGGTTTCGCTATGTTGCCCAGGCTGGTCTCGAACTCCTGTGCTCAAGCAATCCACCAGCCTCAGCCTCCCAAACTGCTGGGATTACTAGAGATTTCTAATACTCCTCAGTAATCGATAGAAGTATACAAAAAATATCACTAAGGATATAGAAGACTTAAGCAATGTAACCAACTGACTGGACCTAATGTTTGTAAAACACTCAACCTAACAATAGCAGAATACAGATTAACAGATATTTTCCAGCACACATAGGACAGGCACCAAGAGAGACTGTACGCTAGGACATCAAAAAGTCAGCCTCAGCCAGGTGCAGTAGCTCATGCCCGTAATCCCAACTCTTTGGAAGGCTGAGGCAGGAGGATCGCTTGCGCCCAGGAGTTTGGGTCCAACCTAGGCAAGAGTGAGATCCCACCTCTAAATGAATTAATTATTAAAAAAAAAATCTTGATACATTTTTTAAAACTAAGATCATATACAACATGTTTCCTAATCATAATGGAATCAAAGCAGAAACTAATAAGGGAAACCCCCAAATATGTAAACAGCATAATTTGAAACAACCTAAGGTGAAATATGAACTCATAAGGGAAATTAGAATATACTTTTAACTAAATAAAAATGAAAACACAACATATTAAAATGTGAGGAATGGGGCCGGGCACGATGGCTCATATCTGTAAGCCCAGCACTTTGGGAAGCCAAGGCGGGTGAATCACGAGGTCACGAGTTCAAGACCAGCCTGGCCAACATGGTAAAAACCTGTCTCTACTAAAAATACAAAAAAAAATTAGCTGGGTGTGGTGGCGGGCACCTGTAATCCCAGCTACTTGGGAGGCTGAGGCAGGAGAATCGCTTGAACAGGGTAGGCGGAGGTTGCAGTGAGCCGAGATCGTGCCACTGCACTCTAGCCCGGGCGAAAATGTGAGACTCTGCCTCAAAAAAAAAAAAAAAAAAAAAGGGAGGAATGCAGCTAAAGCAATGCTGAGAGGAAAATTTACAGAAGTGAATAATACTATTAGAAAAAGAGAAAGGTTGGCCAGGCACGGTGGCTCACCCCTGTAATCCCAGCACTTTGGGAGGCTGAGGTGGGTGGATCACGAGGTCAGGAGATCAAGACCATCCCAGCTAACACGGTGAAACCCGTCTCTACTACAAATACAAAAAATTAGCTGAGCATGGTGGCAGGCGACTATAGTCCCAGCTACTCAGGAGGCTGAGGCAGGAGAATGACACAAACCCAGGAGGCGGAAGTTGCAGTGAGCCAAGATTGCGCCACTGCACTCCAGCCTGGGCGACAGAGCAAGACTCCGTCTCAAACAAAAAAAAACGAGAAAGGTCAGCTGGGCACGGTGGCTCACGCCTGTAATCCCAGCACTTTGGGAGGACGAGGCAGGTGGATCACGAGGTCAAGAGTTCAAGACCAGCCTGGCCAAGATGGTGAAACCCTGTCTCTACTAAAAACACACAAAAAAATTAGCCGGGTGCGGTGGCAGGCATCTGTAATCCTAGCTACTCGGGAGACTGAGGCAGGAGAATCGCTTGAACTCAGAGGGCGGAGGTTGCAGTGAGCTGAGATCGCGCCACTGCACTCCAGCCTGGGTGAGAGAGTGAGACTCCATCTCAAAAAAAAAAAAAAAGAAAAAGAGAAAGGTCCAGGCCAGGTGCGGTGGCTCACACCTATAATCCCAACACTTTGGGAGGCCGAGGCAAGCTGATCAGGTGGTGGTCAGGAGATCGAGACCATCCTCGCAAACACGGTGAAACCGCGTCGTAGTAAAAATACAAAAAAAAATATTAGCCGGGTGTGGTGGTGGGCACCTGTAGTCCCAGCTACTTGGGAGCTGAAGCAGGAGAATGGCGTGAACCCGGGAGACGGAGCTTGCAGTGAGCAGAGATCGCGCCACTGCACTCCAACCTGAGTGACAGGGCGAGACTCTGTCTCAAAAAAAAAAAAAGAGAAAGGTCCAAAATTGATAATCTAACCTTTTACCTTAACAAACTAGCAAAGGGATGGCAATGATAAGAGAAGAAATCAATGCAACAAGGCCAGGCGTGGTGGCTCACACCTACAATCCCAGCACTTTGGGAGCCCAGGGGGGTGGATTACCTGAGCTCAGGAATTCAAGACCAGCCTGGGCAACATGGCGAAACTGTCTGTATCCAAAATACAAAGAAAAATCAGCCAGGCATGGTGGCATGTGCCTGTGGTCCCAGCTACTTGGGAGGCTAAGGTGGGAGGGTCTCCTGAGCCTGGGAGGCAGAGGTTACAGTGAGCTGAGACTGCGACACTGCACACCAACCTGGGTCATAGAGACCCCATCTCAAAAAAAAAAAAAATCAATGCAACAAAAAAGAGAAAAACGATAAAAATTAATGAAACCAAAGCTGTTTCTTTGAAAAGCTGAATAAAACAAGATAGCAAACCACAAAATACCAAATGATATAGTCAAGACTTTAAGGCAAAAAATGTCTTCTGAACAATTATTGAGGTGAAAGAGTGCGTTGGCTGGAGTTACTATAGTAATCTGCCTTGAGCAAATGGTATTCAGACAAGCAAGGAGAAAAGACTGCAGGTGAGATAACAGCTCAAACCCTACTATGAAAGCTAGACTGAGCATCTCGCATGTCCACAGGATGAGACAACCAGGCAGATCTACAGAAAGGAGGGGGGCCGGGTGCGGTGGCTCATGCCTGTAATCCCAGCACTTTGGGAGGCCGAGGCGGTTGGATCATGAGGTCAGGAGTTTGAGACCAGCCTGACCAACATGGTGAAACCCTGTCTCTACTAAAAATACAAAAATTAGCCGGGCATGGTGGCAGGCACCTGTAATCCCAGCTACTCAGGAGGCTGAGGCAGGAGAATTACTTAAACCCGGGAGGCGGGGGTCGCAGTGAGCTGAAATTGTGCCACTGCACTCCAGCCTGGGCAATAGAGCAAGACTCCCTCTCAAAAAAAAAAAGGAGGGCCAGGGGCCAGGATAGGCTAGATACTGGGGTAAAGGCAAGTGGATGATTCCCATTAGGTTTAGTAAATTCTTGGACTGCACTTGGAATTGCTGATGTGTGTAATGGAACACAGTATTTCTGTTGTAGTTAACAGTGCTCTATCCCTGAAGGGGAGGAGGCATAAATTCCTGAGGAGCCCAGTGTTCCTTTACTAAATAGCAGAAATTCCTGGGGGATAAGGGGAGGCAAGAAGGAAAATAATATTTACTCAGGTCTACGTGTACTAGGTACCATGGTAAGAAATTTATATATGTTATACCTCTTATGTCTTCATAAAAAACAAGTTATAGAACTTGCCCATGACATAGCTTTTTTTTTTTTTTTTTTTTTTTGAGATGGAGTCTCACTTTGTCACCCAGGCTGGAGTGCAGTGGCGCAATCTCAGCTCACCGCAACCTCCACCTCCGGGGCTCAAGTGGTTCTCCTGCTTCAGTCTCCAGAGTAGCTGGGACTACAGACATGTGCCACCACGCCTGGCTAATTTTTGTATTTTTAGTAGAGATGGGGTTTCACCATATTGGCCAGGCTGGTCCTGAACTCCTGACCTCGTGATCCACCTACCTCGGCCTCCCAAAGTGCTGGGATTACAGGCGTGAGCCACCGCACCCGGCCTATTTATTTATTTTTAAATATAAACAGGATCTTGCTATGTTGCCTAAGCTGGTCTCAAATTCCTGGGCTCAAGCAGTCCTCCCACCTCGGCTTCCAAAAGTGCTGGGATTGCAGGCATAAGCCACCATGCCCAGCTTTATCATGCAATTTACCAAGTAATATGGCTTACTAAATACCCCGTTTCATTTAATTCTCACAAAAGCCGTCTGACCTAGGTCCTATCAGTATCCCTATTTTACAGATGAGGGAATTGAGGCCCAGCATGGGCAATATTCCCAAGATCCCAACTAGTAATATGACAAAGATATGATGTGAACCCCATCTGACTCCAGAGCCTGTGCTTCTAACCACTAGAGTCAACTGCATCCTTACCCTCTCAGACACTCCTCCACTCCTCAGCCTCTAACTTCTGATATCCAGTTCCCTGATGCCTACAATTCTTTCCCAGGCCAATGGCCTCTTCTGCTCTCTCTCCTCTCCCCTCTTCCAGTATCTCAATGGGGTCTAGCATTCTTTTTTTTTTTTTTTTTTTTTTTTTGAGACAGAGTCTTGCTCTGTCACCCAGGCTGGAGTGCAGTGTCGCGATCTCGGTTCACTGCAAGCTCTGCCTCCCAGGTTCCTGCCATTCTCCTGCATCAGCCCCCCTGAGTAGCTGGGACCACAGGCGCCCGCCACGACATCCAGCTAATTTTTTGTATTTTTAGTAGAGACGGGGTTTCACCGCGTTAGCCAGGATGGTCTCAATCTCCTGAACTCGTGATCCACCCGCCTCGGCCTCCCAAAGTGCTGGGATTACAGGTATGAGCCACCGCGGCCGGCTGGGTCCCGCACTCTTGATTCCCTTGCATTCAATGCCTTACCACTCTACAACTGTCTTCTAACAGAGCTCTATTCCTTAATCACCAGTGTAATCTATCCACCTTCTGCATCCCTGTCACTGAGTAGCTGGGTGATTCTGGGAAAAACAAATGCTCAGAGTTGTCTTCCCAAAACCCAGCTGAGCTCCCAACACACCTTCCAATCCCTCTCAGTTTCTTCAGCAATCATCATACCCTAATACCATGAAATTCACTATGCACAACTCTTTCCCCTAACTGCAGCCCAAGAAAAGCTGAAAAACTCAAAATCCTGTTATAGCTTCCCACTAACCTCATCTATATCCACATCTTTCCAGACCTCTTTCCTGTCAGGTTCAGAGGATTTTTCCTCTGCTTGCTCTTTATTCTATCCCTAGGGAGACCCTCTGCACCTCTGCTCATCAATTACCTACTTTTCTTTTCTTCGAGACGGAGTCTTGCTCTGTCGCCGAGGCTGGGGTGCAGTGGCACGATCTTGGCTCACTGCAACCTCTACCTCCCGGGTTCAAGCAATTCTCCTGCCTCAGCCTCCCGAGTAGCTGAGATTACAGGCACCCGCCACCGCGCCTGGCTAATTTTTGTATTTTTAGTAGAGACGGGGTTTCACCATGTTGGCCAGGCTGGTCTCGAACTCCTGACTTGGTGATTCACCCACCTTGGCCTCCCAAAGTGCTGGGATTACGGGCGTGAGCCACTGTGTCCAGCCAATTCCACACTTTTCTCTTGTACACTCAACTGCTACTGGGCTCCTTAATTAAAACACGCTCAAGTCACTGTCATTCAAAAACACCTGCACTGACTTACAGCTCCCTCTAGGTGGCATCTGATGTCCTTCCTTCTCTTCAACTGACAAACAGATTGTCCTTGCTGTCTCCACTCACTCACTTCCCATGAAGCCTCACCCACTGCCATCTGGCTTCCATCCCTACTATTTCTGTAACAGCTCCTGCTAAGGTCACCAATGACGTCCTAACTGTCAAATCCAATGGATACTTTTCAGTCCTCATCTAACTGAAATGCTCTTAGGCAACTGACACTGCTCAGCATCACCCCAATTCTGGACACGTGTTCCTGAAGGCCTTGGTTCCAAGACCCGGCACCCTCCCACAGGTTCTGACCACACTTCATCTTAGTATTCCCCACATTTCCAAATTCCTCCCTCTCCTCTTCTCACTCCACATTGTCCCTGGGTGATGTCACTCATTCTTGAGCTTTTGACCTTTTGTGGATAGGCTCCGAAATCTACATCTTTAATCCAGACCTGTTCTCCATGTTTCTTCAGATTGCTTCTCACCTAGGAACCTCTAAGCTATCCCTGACTGCTCTTACCTTTCTAGTTTCATTTCTCTCCCTGGAATGTCTCACTCATACTTTTTAAATCAAATCTAACAGATCATCAATTAAAGAGGCACCACTAAGGGAGCAGAAGGAATCAGGAATCTACACATGTGTATATATGTACTTAAATATGTATCTTGGAACTGAAGAAATAAGGTATAAATAAATACCTGGGGAAATCTCCATCTGAATGTTCTCAGGAACTTCAAACTTTATATATCCTAAACTAGATTTCTTTATCTTCGATCCTAAACCTGTTCTTGTTCATGTGGTCTTCCAGTTGGTGGCACTAACACCCACCTAGTCACCCATGCCAAAATCTGCACATCATTTTTGACTTTTCTTTGAGCATCCCAGGACCACAAAGTTCTGCTGATTTTATCTGCTAACTTCTTATCAAATCTGTTCCCCTCTTCCTACCTCTACTTTCAGTGCTCTCATCATTTTTATTGATTTATGTATTTTTTTGGAGACAGAGTCTCACCCTGTTGCCAGGCTGGAGTGCACTGGTGGGATCTCGGCTCACTGCAACCTCCGCCTCCCGGGTTCCAGCGATTCTCCTGCCTCAGCCTCCTGTGTAGCTGGGATTACAGGTGTGCACCACCACGCCCGGCTAATTTTCATATTTTAAGTAGAGATGGGGTTTCCCCATGTTGGTCAGGCTGGTCTCAAACTCCTGACCTCAGGTGATCCACCTGCCTGGGCCTCCCAAAGTGCTGGGATTACAGGCGTGAGCCCCCGCGCCTGGCCTGCTCTCATCATTTTTATCTGGACTTCTTCAGTGGTCCCCAAACCTGGTCTCCCATCCTATCCTTTCAGGTCCATCTTTCTCACAGCTGCAAGAGTGAATCATCTAACACAGAAATTTGACAAAGTCTGCATCTGTAGTGTGGGAAGCCAAAAAAAAAAAAGAAGAAAAACACATCTGACAAAGTCACTCTGTGCTTAAGACCCTTATATGATTCTTCCTAAGGTGTGCGATGCCCTCCATGATATGGCTCTCCACTATTTATCCAGCCTCATCTCTTAACATTCCCAATTCCACAATTTACTCCAGCAAACCTTGAACTTTCCATGGTCCCATGTACACAAGCTAGTTACATCGCCACACTTCTGGCTAAAGGAATGCTCTCCCTCACCTGTCTCATCACATGCTACTTCTTTCAGGAATCCTTTCCTCTTCCACTTCCAGACTGGGCTAGAGCAATCACTAACTCTAGTGCTCTCACAGATTCCCACATACAGGTTAATCTAAAACCCAAAATGCTCACAAAAAGCTGAAACTTTCTGAGTCCCAACATTCTGAGCACCAACATGACGCTCAAAGGAAATGCTCATTGGGGCATTTCAAATTTTGGATTAGGGATGCTGAACCTGTAAGTATAATGAAAATATTTCAAGGCTGGGCACGGTGACTCACACCTATAATCCAGCATTAGAGAGGCTAAGGCAGGAGGACTGCTTGAATCCAGAGTCTGAGACCAGCCTGGACAAGAGAGTGAGATCCCAGCTCTACAAAAAATTTAAAAATCAGGCCGGGTGTGGTGGCTCACGCCTGTAATCCCAGTACTTTGGGAGGCTGAGGCAGGCGGATCACAAGGTCAGGAGTTCGAGACCATCCTGGCTAACACGGTGAAACCCCTTCTCTACCAAAAATACAAAAACTTAGCCGGGCGTGGTGGCAGGCGCCTGTAGTCCCAGCTACTCAGGAGGCTGAGGCAGGAGAATGGCGTGAACCTGGGAGGCGGAGCTTGCGGTGAGCCAAGACTGCGCCACTGCACTGCAGCCTGGGTGACAGAGCAAGACTCCATCTCAAAAAAAAAAAAAAAAAAAAAAAAATTAAAAATTAGCCAGGCATGGTGGCGTATGCACCTGTGGTCCCAGATACTTGGGAGGCTGAGGTGTGAGGATCACTTGAGCTGCAGTGAGCTATGATAGCGCCACTGCCCTTCAGCCTAAGTGACAGTGAGACCCTGTCTCTAATAAAAATAATGAAAATATTAAAAAAGAAAATCTGAAATCCAAAACATTTCTGGTCCCAAGCATTTTGGATAAAGGAAACTCAACCGTAATGCAATAGTTCTAAAACATAACAGAACGTATCCTTAACAGACTTAACTAAAAAACAGAAAACATTCTGCGCATGCAAATGCCGCACATTTAGAGATATGAAGGTCGGAATGCAAGAAAAATGTTATAGCTAAGAGTTACTCTAATGGAAACCAGAGTAAGGTAACTTTTTTTTGTTTGTTTGTATTTTGAGATAGAGTTTTTGCTCTGTCGCCCAGGCTAGAGTGCAATGGTACGATCTCGACTCACAGCAACGTCCGCCTCCTGGGTTCAAGCAATTCTCCTGCCTGAGCCTCCCAAGTAGCTGCGATTACAGGCGCCGGCCACCAGGCCCGGTTAATTTTTGTATTTTTAGCAGAGACGAGGTTTCAGAACCACACTGGACAGGCTGGTCTCAAACTCCTGACCTCAGGTGATCCACCAGCCTCGGCCTCCCAAAGTGCTGGGATTACAGGCGTGAGCCACCGTGCCCGGCCGAGGTAACTTTTTAAATTTTGCAAAACCTTAAATATACGTAGTTCAAAATTCCTCAGATTTTTCTTTCTCAATTCCGGTTGCCTTCGGCTGGGCCTCTGAAGGTAAGTGAAGGAGAAACGAACCCCGAGATGCCTATGAGGGCTGCTTTTTCACAGGTTCTCTATGCCACTGGTTAACATGACTTAGATAAGCACCTGAGAAAATGCAAAAATAATGCTTTTCTGTTCAAAATAATAAATCCAACTTTTACTCTTGCCTTAATTTAGAATCATCACAAGTCCACAAGAAGGAGGCTACACAATTTCTACAAGGAACGCTCAGAAAATAACGATGAAGTGACCTGACATACTATAAGCCACTATGGCACAGAGCATGGAAACTGGCACACTAAGCAAAGAAGAGAAGGAAGCAGCCAGCAGGGGACGAAGTGAAAGGGGTGTGAAATGAGCAGAGGACAGCAGAGGACAAGAGGGAAGCTGGGCATGACGGCCCTGTACCTTGGTGAAGGTGGTGGACCCAGAGGCCATGAGAATCTGACGCACGCGGTTGTGGAAGCGCTGCATTGACTCATCGTCCACACGCAGGAAACACTGAGCTGTGCGCTCCTTAGTAACCTAAACCACAAAGTCAAGGTTAACATGTCCGAGGAACTCCCACAGAAGCAAGAGCCAACTGTGCCCACCACTCAAGTCTTTCCACCCAACAAGACTCCGGTGACTGACCCAGGAAGTGCAGGCGCGTTCATGTCACTCCCAGCCCCGCCCAGGCTGTACCTCATTCTGCAGGTTCCAGACCCCGTCCTTGTGGGTGAACTCCTCATAGCTGGTGCGGCACTTAGGCAGGATGCGGCACTCGAAGCCACACATGTTGAACAGCAGGTTGGGGTTGTCCTTACTGTACACAGACACGAAGCTGTTCTCCCACTGAACTGTAGTCACTGACCGTGGCAAGCGGTTCTTGATGTCCCAGAATACCGCCCGGCCTCTGCCCACAGAGAACACATGGTCACAGCAGTTTCTTGGAAGGAACTTCCCTTCAAAGGCCAACTGATGACATCCTGACACAGCCACGCCTCTCCCACCCAGGACGCAGCCTCAGGTATGCCCTCTCTGGGCCCTTAGCTTATGTCCTTCCAGCTCACACAGCCCCAACCTAGACTCACAAGTTAACATCATGTTTCATGAGGCGCATGCGGGCATCTCGGGGCCAGCACTTCTTGTTATTATAGCCAACGATGTTTTCATTATTGGGGTCAGGGTGCTCTGTCAGGTAACGTTGAATCAGGTCCCGAGCCTCATCTGCTGTGAACCTACACCAGACCAGGTACACTGCTGAGGCCCCAGTACACTGAGATTTGGGACACCCACAAGTCCTCCAGCTCAATAGACGGAGACCCCACCCCATCCTACCCCCACCCTCCCCGGGCTTCATTCCATTTTATTTTTATTTATTTATTTTTTGAGACAGTCTCGCTCTTTCCCCAGGCTGGAGCGCAGCGGCGCAATCCCGGCTCACTGCAAGCTCCGCCTCCCAGGTTCACGCCCTTCTCCAGCCTCAGCCTCCGGAGTAGCTGGGACTACAGGCACCCGCCACCACGCCCAGCTAATTTTTTGTATTTTTAGTAGAGACGGGGTTTCACTGTGTTAGCCAGGATGGTCTCGATCTCCTGACCTCGTGATCCGCCTGCCTCGGCCTCCCAAAGTGCTGGGATTACAGGCGTGAGCTACCGCACCCGGCCGCTTCATTCCATTTTAAAGCCCCAACAGCAGTTAAGTCAACTCAGGTACAATAGCTGATTTCAGAGGCAAAGCACATGCCTCAGTACCCTGCAAGGCTAGGAATCCAGGAAAGCCCTCACCTGAAAAAAATATGGATGCGATCAATGTATCTGCAGAAGAGACGGATGGGGTGGGCAGCCTCAGTGGCTATGTCCTGGAAACTGAGAAAGTCATTTGGCATCTGAGGGGGCCCAGCCATCTCACTGGCCCGGTGCAATCCCAATACAAGCAAATCCATCACCAGGCCATAATACTGCACGATGAATGAGGCAAACTGCAGGCCTCTGATGATCCCATATGAATTCGTATGGTTCATGTCCTAGAAAGAAAGAACTACAATTCTTAAGAATGTGAGCCATGCCCCAGGATTCTCCAGAGTTAACCTCTTTTGTTCTCCCCTCAGCAAATTCTACTTTTTTCCACTCCCGAGGCGGAGTTGTGCTCAGTCACCCAGGCTGAGAGTGCACTGGCGCAATCTCAGCTCACTGCAACCTCCACTTCCCGGGTTCAAGTGATTCTCCTGCCTCAGCCTCCCAAGTAGCTGGGATTACAGGCGCCCACCACCACACCCAACTAATTTTTGTATTTTTTTAAGTAGAGACGGGGTTTCACCATGTTGGCCAGACTGGTCTCGAACTCCTGACCTCGTGATCTGCCCGCCTCAGCCTCCCAAAGTGCTGGGATTACAGGCATGAGCCACCGCACCCAGCCTCCTCCTCAGCAAATTCTGAGTCAGTGGGCCAGACAAGCACTCCACACACAATTCCATGCTACTGCGCCTGAGACGCACCTTATAGTTGATGACGACGTTGTTCTTGGCTGTCATGTAGTCGGCTATGTTGTGGTCCACGATGAGGCGCAGCAGCCTGTTGAGCAGAGTCAAGTCGATCTTCTCATACATCTTCTCAAAGCGGGATTCCAGCATGACATTGCACTCGCCTTCACTCGTCTCCCACACGTCCTGCAGGTTATTGATGCCTGAGGAGTAGCAAGGCAGGTCTCCAGCAGGTTAGAAATCCTCTTGCAAGACTAGCCCCACAGGAACTATCATTACCTTCCATAACCAATCCCACTATGATTCCACGTATTCATTTGGATTGCTTTGACTATGGGCTTTTCCTCAGTTTAACACGAACACTACTTCCCTTTACTACCACGCATCAAGAGAGTAAACCAATCATGCTACCCAGATGAGATTTTTGACGTAGAACTAAATTCCTGCCCCGTTCCTCACAGGGCGATCTCATGAAAGTTCTACCTTGACACCACTTGTAAACAAGCAGCGGAGGTGGTTCTGTGTCTGCAGGCTTAATCCAGGGTGGGAACAGGCGGCGCTTGTCGGCTTCATACCACAGGTACTGGTCCAGGTAAGCATCAGTTATCTTCTCCAGGGGCTCAACATCATATACTGGAACGAGGTGGCTATACAGATCCATGAACTCAATGCCCACCTGTGGGACAAGGAGGCTGGTTCACACCAATCCACCAACTGCTACCTTTGGTAGAACCAAAGGCAACTGCTACCTTTGGTAGAACCAAAAAGAAAACTTGGGAGGCCTCACTCACCTCTTTGAAGGCTCTCTGTGTGAGGAGGTGACGCTTGATGCGGGACAGCGCCTCGTGGGGGTTATCGTAGGCCTGCTCGATCAGACCTAGCTCCTCCCTCTGAGACTGGTTCAACCGAGACTTCACACTGACAAAAGCAATGGGAAGGGTGAATGGGAAAACTAGGAGGAAGTAAAACCAGGAAAGACTGGGGCTACACCTTCTTTCTTTGGACTCTGAGGATGACGCCATTCCCTGCTGTCACCTTCCCAGCAGGAACCTATCTACCCTACTACTCACCTATAAGCTTCCTTGAGCCGCTCCAATGCCAAGATGAGCAACTTGGTGTCATGCTTATAGGAGAGTGGGGGGAATGGGATGGGTGAAAACCTGCGGCTTTCCAACCAATGCACTGTGGTGGTATATACTGCCACTGCTTCCTCCGCTGTGATGTAAGGCCCGTCCTGTAAGGTGGACATGAAATTAGCCTCCCGCTACAGCCCGATCCTGCCAGAACAAGGTTCAGTCACAACTCTACAGTCCTCCCTCTTGCCCACTCCCCCACCACTCACACCCAGCCCAGCCTACTCTGCCCAACCTTCAGGTAGTTGTGCTGCCGCTCCTGTTCTGCCTTCAGATAGAGCCGGGTGAGGCGGCCCAGATTCTTTTTACAAACAGTCTTGTCCACAGTGGCCCCTCGGCGGATCCGTTCTCGGTTGTAGTGGGCAGTGTTGGTCCACCAGTCAGCCTTGGCCTTCACGTATCGAAGGATCATATTCTCTATGGGCGTCGGCAGCCCAGGGACCTAAAAGTCCAAAAAGCACAATCAAGCCAGGATCCAGCCAGGCACTGTGGCACACATCTGTAGTCCCGGCTACTCAGGAGGCTAAGGAGGATCGCTTGAGCTCAGGAGCTTGAGGCCAGCCTAAGCAACATGGTGCTTCTTTTCCCTGTCTAAAAGGGAAAAGAAAAGAGATTGGAGCCAGATAGCCCCCTAATGATTCCCGAAGTGGTAATCCTACCCTAAAGACGGATGTTTACGCCTCCAAGGAAATAAAGAGACACCCACCTTCCAGGGAATGTTGGCTTTCCAGCAGCGCCAGGCTTCACTGAGGTGCTGCAGGATTGTCCGGGCCTTGTTCTGCTTGATCCCCTCAGGCATCATGTCCAGAATATCATGCATCACAGCTGCCCGCAGCTCAAGGTCAAAATGTGACTCCACTCGCTGCTTTGTTACTGTCTTTGCCACCCCCTTTGAGTGTCGACCTGGAAGTAGAGTGTCCCAAGGGGATTACAAGGAAGATTCCTTGCTTTCAATAAGGGTCTCTACCTTCATGCTCCTCACTCATTATGGTTATTAATAAAATTAGGTATTAACAAAGCGTCCCTGTGCCCAGCATATGCAAAAAGACGAGCTACCTTAAACATTCACAACTATGCTTCTGAGGAATTTCCACTCCTGCAAATGCATGACTGCCTCTCAAGGCCCCAGAAGGAAGCCCAAGAAATAGAATACTAGGTCAGACTCATTTCAGAACTGGACCTAAAGGCAATCCAGTAGGAAGAGTGCTCATACAAGAGCAGGGAACAGACTCAAACAGGGGCAGGTACTTTTGAAGCAATAACAGGAGAAGTTGGACACAGAGAAAACCACTCACCTTCAAACTGCCGGGCCAGGAGGTTGCCAAGCCATCGCTCTAATAAAGGGGTAATGCCACGCATGAAAAAGAGCCAGACTCGCCAACCGGCAGCCCAGAAGCCACAGCCAGGACCCTTCCCTACAGGGCCCTACGATCCCAAGCAGAAGTTAAGAATACAAGTTAGCAATGCATTTAAACAACAATAGAAACCTGGGCAGAGGTGGGGCATATATGTATAATATACATACAGAGGAATGTAGGTATGGCAGTAGAGGGGTAAAAAGAAAAAAAAACTCTGGGACCTCAACATCTAAAACAAAAGGGTAAATGAGAAACCTTAAGGCAAAAACCAGGAACTAAGATCGCCCATGTGAATTTAAAGGAGCAGTAAGGACACAGTCATAGCTGCTCTCCAAATAGGTCCCTGGAAAGAGCCCTGTCTAAATGTATACATGAAAAAAGATCTGAGAAAGTTAAGTCCAGTGAGGCTGGGCACGGTGACTCACGCTGGTAATCCCAGTACTTTGGGAGGCCGAGGAGTGTGGATCACCTGAGGTCAGGAGTTCAAGACCAGCCTGGCCAATACAGTGAAACCCCATCTCTACTAAAATTTCAAAAACTAGCCAGGCATGGTGGTGCGCGCCTGTAGTCCCAGCTACTTGGGAGGCTGAAGCAGGAGAATCACTTCAACCCGGGAGGCGGAGGCTGTGGTGAGCCAAGATCGTGCCATTGTACTCCAGCTGGGGCAACAGAGAAAGACTCAGTTTCAAAACAAAACAAAAAAAAAATTGCCAGGCGTGGTGGCGGGCACCTGTAATCCCAGCTACTCGGGAGGCTGAGGCAGGAGAATTGCTTGAACTCAGGAGGCGGAGGTTGCAGTGAGCCAAGATCGTGCCATTGCACACCAGCCCAAGAGACAAGAGTAAGACTCTGTCTCAAAAAAAAGAAAGTCAGTAAAGTCAAGGTCTCACCGTGTTGAAACGATAATAGATGAGATGCTTCAGGTCCTTGCACATGCGAATCTGTCGCATCAGCTTGTATTTGTATCGATACATGCCCGTCAACTGCCCAACATGGGCAAATATATACTGCAATCCATCTGCCAGCTGCAATACAATTGCCCCATCAGACCTGGAGCTTAAACCAGCTCCACGGTCAGCACAGGCTTCCTCCAGCGTCCTCACCCAGGCAGGGGTTGGGAATACCTAACCTTACCTGGAAGGCATCCACATTGCCCAGCCGATACTGCACGTGACTATCCACCACCAGCTTAGTCAAACGCAGAACTTCCCGACACAGGTGGAAAGCATTCCCAAAACGAGATTTCTTTCTTTCCTGGAGAAGATGCAAAAAACAGACAGAACGTGAATGAGCAATGGACCCAACTGATGTATGCCTTCATCAGTAACCAGAGGAAAACAACTGTCCGTCCTTGAAGCCCAGGAGGCCCCTAGGGTCCAATGCAGGCACCTTGGTGGTGAGCGTTTTCACAGGCTTGAGGTTGAAGTTGTAGTCCAGGTGCAGGTAGTTGAGGTTTTTGCGGTGAATGAGAAGGTTGAGCATGTTGTAGCCCTGGCGGCAAACCTGGAGCCCAACCTCCACCCAGTCCAGCTTTGTGGACTGAAAGAATTTGGTGGCTTTGAAGGAGCGGAACAAATACCTGAGGTGGGAACATGGAGAGTAAGAGTCAGCCTACTGATATCTCTGGAACAGAAGTCTGCGCAGGGCCCCTGGGGCACCTTACCTCTTCTTTTGAGCCTTAGGGGGCCGATGCTTCAGGGCATTCAGCACATAGTACTTAAGCAGCTTCTGGTAGGAGACCCTCACTTTCACAGGCTGCCCGGCAGGACAATGCTCCCGATACCTGGAAAAATAAGCCCACCAGAGTTTGGCCATCTCTTCTTCCAGACACTCTGCTAAAGGCTGCAAGCCTTGGGTTGTCTACCATTTTTATGGGAAAAAAAAAAAAAGAATTTAAAAAAAAGGCTACATGCCCACCTAGTTGGAGTCTTTTCTCCTACACATCCACTATCATTCCCCCTGCCACAGGGAAAAACCTTACCAGTTCTTGACAAGGGGTATGTCCAGGGCCCGACGGGTGCGACCAGAGCGTAGGTTGAAGGGCCGCGGGGCCCAGAGCAGGGCAATGCCATTGGCTGTATTGTCTGTATAGAGGGGTGTGTCCTTCAGGAAGGGCTCCACAAACTCCGGGAGCTCAAATTCCTCATCATCATCCGGCAATGGTTCCTGGCTCTGAAAAAGGAATCCCTCTAAGGGTTTAGCTCCTGCTGAACTAGGCACAGACTTAAGATGAGGGAAATTCTCTGGGGCCAAGCACAAAGCCTGTATCTGCTATGGAAACTGGGCTGTCTGACAAAAGCAGCCCTGAAGTGCCAGCACAAAGGAAACCAAGACAGCAAAGAACAAGACAGGGCCACCAGGAAAGCAAGCGTCACTTCTCACACCTCAACTGGCTGACCACCAGAAAGCCTCCCAATGGAGCCCCAACATCACAGGAGGTCAACATTGCAATCATCTCCCACCCAAGCTCCAAACACTGGGCTTGGACACAACGGAACACAGATGAGCATCAAAAACATTATGGTAAGCTTAAGAAGCCAGTCACTGAAGACTACATAGTGTACGATTCTATTTCATTCTATCATATGAAATGTGTAGAATAGCCAAATCTATAGACAGAAAGTAGATTAGTGGTTGCGTAAGGAAGTTGGGGAGAAATGGCGAGTAACTGCTAAGGGTTTCTTTCTCAAGTAATAAAAATATTCTCAAATTGCATGTCGTGACAGTTGGGACAACTCTGAGAATAAGCTAAAAACCATCAAATTACACACTTTAAATGGATAACTTGTATGGTATGTTAACTACATCTCAATATAAAGGCTAAAACAAACAAACACAATAGAGACAGACCGGGACAGATTATCTAGAGCACCCAAGAAAAGAACCGTAAAGTCCAAAAGGATAATCACAGAAAACAGGATTATACCAATGACATGTTTTAAAGCAAATGCTGAATTCTCATATTCGCTTATAGCTCAAGGGGAACACTTAGCAAGACGGAAAACACATCTCCCTCCACCTGAGCGTTTAGTAACATCAGCCAACCTCACGCATTTCTCCTAGAAGAGCTGAGGGAAAGCATCCCTTCCCTTCCTCACCTTGACTGAGTGCCTATGGGAGATTGGGTTGATCAAAGGGTCAAAGTAGAAAGCTGGCAAGTCAGGATCCTCAGTTTTGATGAATACAACATTGGGAGTATGGTACCTAAAATGAAAGGAAGAGTCAGCCAAAGTTTTCCCGCCCTGGCCCAACCTAAACAGCAGCCTTCTCCTTTCCAAATGTTGTGTTCCAGGTCTCTTACCAGGTGAGGTGGACATGGTGTGGAAGATTGTTGTACAAGTAAGGAAAAGCAATCTTGTACTCAGTGCGGATAGGCTGCCGGATGATAATCTTGTTAATATCATTGAATTCATTCCAGTCTTCATCCCTAGGGTACAACATCAAGAATAAGCAGACTTTTTTTTTTTTGAGACAGGGTCTCACTCTTATCACCCAAGCTGGAATGCAATGGCATGATCATCGTTCACTGCAGCCGTGACCTCCTGGGCTCAAACAATCCTCCCACAGCTCAGCTTCCCAAGTAACTGAGACTACACGAAGCTGTGAGTGTCACCACGCCCAGCTACATTTTTTGGTAAAGATAGGGTTTTGCCATTTTGCCCAGATTGGTCTCAAACTTCTGGGCTCAAGCAATCCTCCTGCCTCAGCTTCCCAAAGTGCTGAGATTACAGCGTGAGCCACTGCACCTGGTGTAAACAGACTAATTTGGAAGTTATATCAGGACTTTAAGGATCAAGATTACGTTTCATTCAACTCAAAATGTCTAAAATCCCTAATCTCTCCAACTCACTGTAGGTTGATGTCTCGAACAAGAGGTTCAAATTTGGGGCCTCCAGGAATGGCCATATTGAGTGCCTTGGACGTAAAGAAGGCCTTCAAATCAAACAGGTAGAAGTAGTTGTCATCCACCAAGTCTGTCAGGAGCTGATTAGCCAGGCGGTAGAGAGTCGACATCATAGGTAGTGTGAACTGCCAGCGCTGGTAAGTGGAGCCATTTACATACCTAGGTAAAAAATGAAAGGCCCACCTCAAGTAAGCAGCTAGACAAACCCATACCACCTACTGATCTCCCAGGACTCCTTCTGCATTTCCAGAACTCCTCCCAGGTGTAGTATCTCCATCTATCACTCACTTCCTGCTGTCCCTCAACGGCTGGTGGTCATAGAACCAGTCCAACACAGGGGCGTCCTCCTCAGGGTCCAGCTCTAGCTGAATGGCCTCCAGTGGCTCAACATCTAGGATGTTGTCAGCATAGTCCAAGGGCGGCTCCTCATCATCAAAAGGGGGAAAACGCATCCTCTTGAAATGCCTCCTATCTCTTTTTTCTCGGCGCATCATAATCCACATTGACCTGGAAGGCAAGACATCACACAACCATTTCTACCCACTGCCTCCCAACCACCACCACCACCACCACCCACCATATTTCAGCCTTTCTCACCCCCACTGGGAGATGTAGACAGGTTCAATGACCCAGGGAATCTCATTGACGAAGGAAATGGCTCCAGTGATGTGGTACAGCACAGGCACATCCCGAATCTGCTCCCAAGGCATAGGCATGTTCTCCAGGAGTTTGAGGACTGCGTGGGGCATGTACTTTAGGGCACTGGCACATTAGAAAAAGAGAAGGCTATCAGAAATGACGAGGTGTTCTGCTACCTGTCCCATGCAGAGAAGCCACATGTTCATGTTCCACAGTCCTACCTTACAATCCAAACTCCCAAACTTAGCCCACAGGCCCTTCCTAACCAGAAACCCTGCCTCTCCCTCTCCAACTTCACCTTGCACCACTCTTCTTAAACGTCATAATCCCACAATGCTGGTATCAGCTCCTCTAAATCAACGGCTATCCCTCTGGAGACAGCTTTGCGGCTCTCTCACATCCTATTCCCTCCGCATCTTCCCATAAATCATAATAAAGTATTCACCATACTTCACTATCACCAGTTGTCTCATGTCTGTCAGGCCACTAGACCGCACACTGCAGAAAGGCGGAGATTGTTACCCTCTGCTCGCTACTATATCCCCAGCAGCCAGCACAGTTCTCTAAGTATTTTTTGAAATAAACAAAACTTCCAGTTCATTACATGGCAAACATTTTTGTGTCCAAATAGAACAGGAATCTGCTAAGACATCTGTACCTGTACTAGCCCAGTTTAGAGCCACAGAAAAAACAGGAGTAGGGAAACCTCTGAAATTAAATACCCCAAACACAGAATTCAGGTCCCTGAGGAGCGACAGGCTGCCACTATGCACAGTATCCCACTCTGGACTTCAACCAGCTCAACCATAGGGACATCTTATTTTTCATTTTTTTTTTTTTTTTGAGACGGAGTCTCGTACTTTCGCCCAGGCCAGAGTGCAGTGGTGTGATCTCGGCTCACTACAAGTTCCGCCTCCCAGGTTCACGCCATTCTCCTGCCTCAGCCTCCCAAGTAGCTGGGACTACAGACACCTGCCACCACGCCCAGCTAATTTTGTGTATTTTTAGTAGAGACGGGGTTTCACCGTGTTAGCCAGGATGGTCTCGATCTCCTGACCTCATGATCCACCCGCCTCGGCCTCCCAAAGTGCTGGGATTACAGGCATGAGCCACCGCGCCTGGCCAGGGACATCTTATAATATCATCAACAGGACAAATTAAAGCACCAGTCCCAGATCGGGAAGAGAGGGGAAACAGACTGCAAAAGTGGAAGATGTAGAAATTATCAGAGACTCCTACTGGTTTTCTCCTTTCTCTTATATCCACCAAGATGAGCTGTCAAAGCATCAATCCAAGACTGTGGGACAGGGAGAAGGGAAAAGGGCCAAATTCCAAATGAAATTATTTCAGGATGTTCCTTACCCCAAGTAAACCCTTTTGTCATGGCGGAACTTCCTGTTGGTCATGTCTCCATGGTCTCGAATGATCTTCCTGACATGTTCTGGGGGCATGTCTTCCTTCTGGGCATCCACAAACCCAAACTTCCGCTTTTCTGCATAGCGCTTGGCCTGCAATTGCTGCCATTTTCGAGCTGGAAAGGCACCTCAGTTTAAAGGCCTGCACACCCTCCCCCTAATCCTCTTCACCTCTTGCCCTAGGGTAAGCTCCTGTCAGTGAGTGTGAGGGAGAAGCAGGCACCAGCAGGAAGAAGCACCCCTTGCCAATTCCCTTACCATTTTACTCTGTTTTTCCTTTCATCACATTGATCACTATCTGACTTTTTTTTTTTTTTTTGAGAGGTTGTTTCACTCTGTCTCCCAGGCTGGAGTGCAATGGTGCGATGTCGGCTCACTGCAACCTCCGCCTCCTGGGTTCAAGCCATTCTCCTGCCTCAGCCTCCCCAGTAGCTGGGATTATAGACACGCGCCACCACACACGACTCATTTTTGTATTTTTCGTAGAGACGAGGTTTCACTGTGTTGGCCAGGCTGGTCTCGAACTCCTGACCTCAGGTGATCCGCCCGCCTGGGCCTCCCAAAGTGCTGGGATTACAACCGTGAGCCACCGCGCCCGGCCTGACATTTTTATTACAGAGCTTCAAGGTTTTGTTATTCTCTGTCTCTCCCGCTGTAATTTAAACCCCGTAAGGACAGGAATTTTGTCTCCGTCACTACTGTACCCCCGCTGGATCAGCGCTTGCAAATAATACGCGCTTAAAATGACTTGATGAAAAATTAACTGGAAATAACAAGGGAGCTGACACCTCAGGAGCTGCCCAAACGGGGAGGGTCCCCACCCGCCTGCGCGCGCGCACACCCGCCCCGCCTCCGGCCCGCGCGCCGCTCCACACTCTCGCCTCACCTTTCTCCTGCAGCTTCTCCTCCGACATGTAGTCCGGTAGCGGGGCTAGAGGGCCAGGCACCGGGTTACCCGGCCCTCGATAAGGAAACACTCCGGCCATATCCGGAGAATCTGGGGAGCGGCGGGATAGAAAAATTCACTAACCACAGGCCCGGGCCCACAAGAAGCGCAGCAGAAAGGCGTCCGGGGACCCCGGCCTGCAGTCCCGCCACACAGTGCATCCAGCCCCGCCCGGCCTAACCCCTTCGGTCACTCGGCCCGACCCGACCACGCCTCCCGCAGCCCGGCCTTAAACGCCTGCCACGCACCCCACAGGCCCTCACACAAGAGGCCGCTTTCCCCGCAGCGCAATGGCGGCCAGACTGCGTCCGCTCCGCGTTCCCAGCGCCGGGAAGTGCGCAACCCGAGTTCAGCAGTTGATCCAGTCGGCGCCGAGGTGCTCAGATGGATTAGTGAGACGACCAATTAGAGTTGCACACTGCGCCGAGGAGGCGGGCCCATAGGCGGAAAGGCTTTGAACGCAAGGGGGTGTGGTCGGGGTGAAGCCCCGCCTCCTCCATTTCCGAGGCTGTTTCTGGGGCCTCTGACAGACCTCAGCGTGTGATGGGCTCCCGGCGTCGCACTGTGAGAGAGCGAAGTCTAAAGGGTTTGAATAAATTTGCCAAGATTGCGCATTGTACGATGTCTGTTGTCATCAATGTGTACATGCAATGCAGTACTAGCTCCTGGACAGTCATTTGTTCATGCATTCATTCATTTAACCATCACTGTCTACCGAGGACGAGGGATAAAGCAGGAAAAAAGACAACCAGTAGAGTTCACAGGGGAGCAGAAAGGCAGGCAAGAATTAAGACCTTGGCCGGGCGCGGTGGCTCACGCCTGGAATCGCAGCACTTTGGGAGGCCGAGGCAGGCGGATCACTTAAAGCCAGAAGTTCGAGGCCAGCCTGGCCAACATGGTGAAACCCCGTCTCTACTAAAAATACAAACATTAGCCGGGCGTGGTGGCGGGCGCCTGTAGTCCCAGCTACTCGGGAGGCTGAGGCAGGAGAATCGCTTGACCCGGGAGGGGGAGGTTGCAGTGAGCCAAGATCGCGCCACTGCACTCCAGCCTGGGTGACAGAGCGAGACTCTGTCTCGGGGGAAAAAAAAAAGTCTGAAATTCTGTGGAGGGTGCAGAGGAATTGTAACCCATACAGCCCCTGAATCTAGTTGAGAATTTACAAATCAAAGTGAAATAATTAGAAAAAAATTCAAAGGATGTCAATGTGCTTTCAGAACGGTAAAAATTTAAAAAATATTCCTTTTGTTTTTTTGAGACAGGGTCTCACTCTGTTGCCCAGACTGGAGTGCAATGGCGCGATCTCAATTCATCACAACCTCCACCTCCCAGGATCAAGCAATTCTCCTGCCTCAGTCTCCAGAGTAGCTGGATTACAGGCACGCGCCACTACTGCCGGCTAAGTTTTGGATTTTTAGTAGAGACAGGGTTTCACTATGTTGGCCAGGCTGGTCTCAAACTCCTGACCTTACGAAATCCTCCTGCCTCGGCCCTCCCAAAGTGCTGGGATTACAGGCGTGAGCCCCCATGCCCGGCCTGAAATCTATTTTTTAATGCTGGGTGTTCTAAAGGTCCCTACAGTCAAAAAAGACAGAGGAGAATTGTTAAAGATTTGATGGAGATGGATGGATGTGAGGATTTCATAAAGGTAAATGGAGAGGAAGGAAAAAGGTAATCCCAAGTGGTAGAACTACTAGAAAGAGTTAAGAAAGAAGCCGGGCACCGTGACTCATACCTGTAATCCTAGCACGTTGGGAGGCAGCGGCGAGAGGATTGGTTAAACTCATGAGTTTAAGACTAGCCTGGGCAACATACTGAGACCCTCATCTCTACAAATAATAAAAATATTAACCAGGCATAGTGGTACATGCCTGTAGTCCCAGCTACTCGGGAGGCTGAGGTGGGAGGATCATGATGGCACCACTGCACTCCAGCCTGGGTGACAGAGCGAGGCTGGTTTCATAGAAAAAAAGTGGGGGTTTTGGTTTGTTTTTTGTTTTTTGAGGCAGAGTCTCACTCTGTTGCCAGGCTGGAGTGCAGTGTCACAATCTCGGCTCACTGCAACCTCTGCCTCCAGGATTCAAGCGATTCTCCTGCCTCAGCCTCCTGAGTAGCTGGGGTTACAGGCATGTGCCACCACACCCGGCTAATTTTGTATTTTTCGTAGAGATGGCGTTTCTCCATGTTTGTCAGGCTGGTCTCGAACTACTGAGCTCAAGTAATCTGCCTACCTCAGCCTCGCAAATTGCTGGGATTTCAGGCGTGAGCCACCGTGCCAGGCCAAAAAAGGTTTAGATATAGAAACTAACATGGCATGCTCTGAAAATAGGCACCATATCAATCTGGCTGTGCTAGAAAGTCCAACATCATCATTATCATCTTCATCATCATCATCGTCATGGTAGTGAAGTCCTTTCACCTGTGTAAGGTTCACTACGTGCCAGACATTGCTCTAAGCCCTGGTGAAATCCTACTATGGTCTGTAGTTTCATTAAGAGTATTGTGGCCGGGCGCGGTGGTTCACGCCTGTAATCCCAGCACTTTGGGAGGCCGAGGCTGGCGGATCACAAGGTCAGGAGATCGAGACCATCCTGGCTAACACGGTGAAACCCTGTCTCTACTAAAAATACAAAAAAATTAGCCGGGCATGGTGGCACGCACCTGTGCTTCGAGCTACTTGAGAGGCTAAGGAAGGAGAATCGCTTGAACCCAGGAGGTAGAGGTTGTAGTGAGCTGAGATAGTCACTGCACTCCAGCCTGGGCAAAAGAGCAAGACTCCGTCTCAAAAAAGAAAAAAAGAGTATTGTACCAATGTCAATTTCCTGGTTTGATTGTCGCTCTATGGTTGTATAAGAAGTTCTGGGGGGTGGCCGGGCGCGGTGGTTCACGCCTGTAATCCCAGCACTTTGGGAGGCTGAGGAGGGTGGATCACGAGGTCAGGAGATCGAGACCATCCTGGCTAACACGGTGAAACCCCATCTCTACTAAAAATACAAAAAAATTAGCCGGGCATGGTGGCAGGCGCCTGTAGTCCCAGCTACTCGGGAGGCTGAGGCAGGAGAATGGTGTGAACCCGGTAGGCAGAGGTTGCAGTAAGCCAAGATCGGGCCACTGCACTCCAGCCTGGGTGACAGAGCAAGACTCCGTCTCCAAAAAAAAAAAAAAAAACAAGTTCTGGGGGGTGGGCAGGGGGCAGGTGTGGTGGCTCACGCCTGTAATCCCAGCACTTTGGGAGGCTGAGGCAGGTGGATCATTTGAGGTCAGGAATTCGAGACCAGCCTAGCCAACATGGTGAAAACCTGTCTCTACTAAAATACAAAAATTAGTGGGGCATGGTGGCACATGCCTGTAATCCTAGTTACTTGGGAGGCTGAGGCATAAGAATCGCTTGCACCCGGAGGTGGAGGTTGTAGTGAGCTGAGATCATGCTATTGCACTCCAGCTTGGGTGACCGAGTGAGACTCTCGCTCAAAAATAAAATAAAATAAAAAGTTCTCAAGCTACGTGAAGGGTACACAAGAACTCTCTGTACTATTTTCAAAACAGCATTATTGAGATAAAAGTTGCACTCCATGGCCACCATGCTGGCTCATGCCTGTAATCCCAGCACATTGGGAAGTCGAGGCGGGCGGATCACCTGAGGTCAGGAGTTCGAGACCAGACGAAGCAACATGGTGAAACTCTGTCTCTACTAAAAATACAAAAATTGGCGGGGCATGGTGGTGCATGCCTGTAATCCCAGCTACTTGGGAGGCTGAGATGTAAGAATCGCTTGCATCTGGAGGCAGAGGTTGCAGTGAGCTGAGATCGCGCCATTGCACTCCAGCCTGGGCAACAAGAGCGAAACTCTGCCTCAAAAAAAAAAAAAAAAAAATCGCAATCCATAAAGTTCGCTTGTTTTCATGTGTATAATTCAATGATTGTTAATGAATTTTAGTTTTAATGATTCAAAATTAGTATATTTACAGACTTGTGCAGTTACCACTATTGAGTTCCAGAACATTCCCAGCACCCCCCAAAGAAATCTTTTTTATTTATTTATTTATTTATTTATTTATTTTTTATTGATAATTCTTGGGTGTTTCTCACAGAGGGGGACTTGGCAGGGTCATAGGACAACAGTGGAGGGAAGGTCAGCAGATAAACAAGTGAACAAAGGTCTCTGGTTTTCCTAGGCAGAGGACCCTGCGGCCTTCCGCAGCGTCTGTGTCCCTGGGTACCTGAGATTAGGGAGTGGTGATGACTCTTAACGAGCATGCTGCCTTCAAGCATCTGTTTAACAAAGCACATCTTGCACCGCCCTTAATCCATTCAACCCTGAGTGGACACAGCACACGTTTCAGAGAGCACAGGGTTGGAGGTAAGGTCACAGATCAACAGGATCCCAAGGCAGAAGAATTTTTCTTAGTACAGAACAAAATGAAAAGTCTCCCATGTCTACCTCCTTCTACACAGACAGGGCAACCATCCGATTTCTCAATCTTTTCCCCACCTTTCCTGCCTTTCTATTCCACAAAGCCGCCATTGTCATCCTGGCCCGTTCTCAATGAGCTGTTGGGCACACCTCCCAGACGGGGTGGTGGCCGGGCAGAGGGGCTCCTCACTTCCCAGTAGGGGCGGCCGGGCAGAGGCGCCCCTCACTTCCCGGATGGGGGGGCTGGCCGGGCGGGGGGCTGACCCCCCCACCTCTCTCCCAGATGGGGCGGCTGGCCGGGCAGAGAGGCTCCTCGCTTCCCAGTAGGGGCGGCCGGGCAGAGGCGCCCCTCACCTCCCGGATGGGGCGGCTGGCCGGGCGGGGGGCTGACCCCCCCACCTCCATCCCGGACGGGGCGGCTGGCCGGGCAGAGGGGCTCCTCGCTTCCCAGTAGGGGCGGCCGGGCAGAGGCGCCCCTCACCTCCCGGACGGGGCGGCTGGCCGGGCGGGGGGCTGACCCCCCCACCCATCTCCCTCCCGGACGGGGCGGCTGGCCAGGCGAGGGGCTGACCCCCCCACCTCCCTCCCGGATGGGGCGGCTGGCCGGGCAGAGGGGCTCCTCACTTCCCAGTAGGGGCGGCCGGGCAGAGGCGCCCCTCACCTCCTGGACGGGGCAGCTGGCCGGGCGGGGGACTGACCCCCCCACCTCCCTCCTGGATGGGGCGGCTGGCCGGGCGGGGGGCTGATGCCCCGACCTCCCTCCCGGACGGGGCGGCTGGCCTGGCGGGGGGCTGACCCCCCTACCTCCCTCCCGGATGGGCGGCTGGCCGGGCAGGGGGCTGACCCCCCCACCTCCCTCCCGGATGGGGCGGCTGGTGGGGCGGGGGGCTGACCCCCCCACCTCCCTCCCGGATGGGGCGGCTGCCGGGCGGAGACGCTCCTCACTTCCCAGAGGGGGCGGCTGCCGGGCGGAGGGGCTCCTCACTTCCCAGACGGGGCGGCTGCCAGGCGGAGGGGCTCCTCACTTCTCAGACGGGGCGGCCGGGCAGAGGTGCTCCTCACATCCCAGACGGGGTCGCGGCCGGGCAGAGGCGCTCCTCACATCCCAGATGTGATGGCGGCCGGGCAGAGGTGCTCCTCACTTCCTAGGTGGGATGGCGGCCGGGCGGAGACACTCCTCACTTTCCAGACTGGGCAGCCAGGCAGAGGGGCTCCTCACATCCCAGATGATGGGCGGCCAGGCAGAGATGCTCCTCACTTCCCAGACGGGGTGGCGGCCGGGCAGAGGCTGCAATCTCGGCACTTTGGGAGGCCAAGGCAGGCGGCTGGGAGGTGGAGGTTGTAGCGGGCCGAGATCACGCTACTGCACTCCAGCCTGGGCACCATTGAGCACTGAGTGAAGGAGACTCCATCTGCAATCCCGGCACCTCAGGAGGCCGAGGCTGGTGGATCACGTGCGGTTAGGGGCTGGAGACCGGCCTGGCCAACACAGCGAAACCCCGTCTCCACCAAAACCAGTCAGGCGTGGCGGCGCGAGTCTGCAATCGCAGGCACTCGGCAGGCTGAGTCAGGAGAGTCAGGCAGGGAGGTTGCAGTGAGCCGAGATGGCAGCAGTACAGTCCAGCTTCGGCTCAGCATGAGAGGGAGACTGTGGAAAGAGAGGGAGAGGGAGACCGTGGAAAGAGAGGGAGAGGGAGACCGTGGGGAGAGGGAGAGGGAGAGGAGGGAGAGGGAGAGGGAGAGGGAGAGGGAGAGGGAGAGGGAGAGAGCAAAGAAATCTTCTACACATTCGCTCCCCCATTTCCTCCTACCTCCTATTCCTCAGCCCTAGGCAACTACTTTTCTGTTTTCCATCTCTATAGATTCACCTGTTCTCAACATTTTATATAAATGGTATGATAGAATAATGAATTTTTTTGTGTGTGGTTGTCTGCTTTTACTTGGCATAATGGTTTTGTGGTTGATGTTGTTGTTGTTATTTGTTTTTTAGAAATGAAGGTCTCACTCTGTCATCCAGGCTCAAGTACATTGGTGCTATCATAGCTCACTATAACCTCAAACTCCTGGGCTCAAAGGGTCCTCCCACTTCAGCCTCTAGAATAGCTAAGACTGCAGGTGCATGTCACTAAGCCTGGCCAGCATGATGTTTTATGATGTTTTTGAGGTTCATACTTGTTATATTGTTATGGCATGTATATCGTCTTTGGATAAATATGTATTCAGATCCTTTACCCATTCTTTTTTTTTTTTTTGAGATGGAGTCTCGCCCTGTCGCCCAGGCTGGAGTGCAGTGGTGTGATCCCAGCTCACTGCAAGCTCTGCCTCCAGGGTTCACGCCATTCTTCTGCCTCAGCCTCCCGAGTAGCTGGGACTACAGGCACCCGCCATCATGCCCAGCTAATTTTTTTTTTGTATTTTTAGTAGAGACTGGGTTTCACCGTGTTAGCCAGGATGGTCTCGATCTCCTGACCTCATGATCCACCCGCCTAGGCCTCCCAAAGTGCTGGGATTACAGGCGTGAGCCACCGCGCCCGGCCTTTTTTTTTTTTTTTTTTTTTTTTGAGATGGAGTTTCGCCCTGTCGCCCAGGCTGGAGTTAGTGCATGGAGTGCAATGGCACAATCTCGGCTCACTGCAACCTCTGCCTTCCGGGTTCAAGCGATTCTCCTGCCTCAGTCTCCCAAGCAGCTGGGATTATAGGTTCCTGCCATCACAAGCCCAGCTATTTTTTGTCTTTTTAATAGAAATGGGGTTTCACCATGTTGGCCAGGCTGGTCTTGAACTCCTGACATTGTGATTTGTCCCCCTTGGCCTCCCAAAGTGCTGGAATTACAGATGTGGGCCACGGCGCCTGGACTTTTTTTTTTTTTTTTTTTTTTTTTTGAGATGGAGTCTCGCTCTGTTGCCCAGGCTGGAGTGCAATGGCGCGATCTGGGTTCACTGCAACCTCTGCCTCTGGGGTTCAAGTGCTTCTTCTACCTCAGACTCTGGAGAGTAGCTGGGATCATGCAATTGCAATCCAGCCTGGGCAACAAGAGCGAAACTCCATCTCAGGAAAAAATGAAAAAAAAAAAGAGAGAGAAGCTTGATGAGTTGGACTTTATTCTCCTGCCTCAGCCTCCTGAGTGGCTGGGATTACAGGCGCATGCCACCACACCCGGCCATATCTCATTATTTAATTGACGATTTTCATTTTTTTCTTTTCTCAGTTTGCTCTTTCTGGATCTTCCGTTATTTTGATGTTGGGTCTTTTGGACTGGTCCCACGATTGTCTCATCTTTTCTAATTCTATCCCCATCATTACTCTTCTTTCCGGGAGACTTTCTTCCAACTCCTCCATGAACTTTTCATTTCCATCAAGTGTCACACTTTTCATTTCCAAATACTAAGTACTCTTTCTTAGTTTTTTTTTTTTTAAAAAAAACGGAGTCTTGCTCTGTCGCCCAGGCTGGAGTGCAGTGGCGCAATCTCGGCTCACCACAACCTCCGCCTCTTGGGTTCAAGCGATTCTCCTGCCTCGGCCTCCCGAGTAGCTGGGGGTTACAGGCGCCTGCCACCACGTCCAGCTATTGTTTGTATTTTTAGTAGAGACGGGGTTTCACCATGTTGGCCAGGAGGGTCTTGAACTCCTGACCTCATGATCCACCCGCCTCGGCCTCCTGAAGTGCTGGGATGACAGACGTGAGCCACCGCACCCACCTCTTTTTAGTTCTTCTTTTGTAGGATCATGTTCTTGTTTCATGGCTACAACATACTCTCTTGTCTCTATAAGGAAAATAGCTTTTCTGAAGTTTTATTCTCCAGGCATACTGTTTGCTTTATCCGTGTTTTTCTTTTTCTTCATCTTCTTTTAAAAAAGTTTATTTCATGTTAGGGGCTTCCTTTAAATGTCCATAATTGGCTCTTCAATTAAAATTATAGTAAGTGCTTCCAATGAGAAGTCCAGAGATCTCACCTGATTTTATGAAAAGAGTCATAGAAGTTTTTTTGGGAAAAGAGATGTTGCCGTGGGTCACTCCTGTAATCCCAGCACTTTGGGAGACGAAGGCAGGAGGATCACTTGAGGTCAAGAGTTCAAGACCAGCCTGGGCAACATGACGAAACCTCAACACAAAAAATACAAAAATTTGCCAGGTATGGTGTCTCACGCCTGTAGTCCCCGCTACTCAGGCCTGAGGTGGAAGGATGGCTGGAGCCCAGCAAGTGGAGGCTGCAGTGAGCCAAGATTGTACTGGAGACTACACTCCAGCCTGGGCAACAGAATGAGATCCTGTCTGAATTTGAAAAAAAAAAAGGCCGGGTGCAGTGGCTCATGCCTGTAATCCCAGCACTTTAGGAGGCTGAGGTGGGCAGATCAAAAGGTCAGGAGTTCGAGACCATCCCGGCCAACGTGGTGAAACCCCTGTCTCTACTAAAAACACTAAATTAGCCAGGCGTGGTGGCGGGTGCCTGTAATCCCAGCTACTAGGGAGGCTGAGGCAGTAAATCGCATGAACCCAGGAGGAAGAGGTTGCGGTGAGCTGAGATCACACCACTGCATTCCAGCCTGGTGACAGAGTGAGACTTCGTCTCAAAAAAAAAAGAGGAGATGTTGTAAATAAGCACTGCAAAATGAGAATGTGTAAGACAAAGGGAGTGAGTAGGAGGAGGGAAGCCAGGAAGATGGAAGTGAGGGAGAAGGAAAGCCTACCAGGCGCTGGGCAATGAAATAGGAATAGATTTCTGAATAAGGAAGGAGCATGGTGTATTTAATAAATGAACTAAGGCCACAGAGACTGAAACGGGCTGGGTGTGGTGGCTCACGCCTGTAATCCCAACACATTGGGAGGCCAAGGTGGGCAGATCACTTGAGTCCTGGAGTTGAAGACCAGCCGGGTCCGCATGGCAGAACCCCATCTTTACTAAAAATACAAAGAAAAAAAATCAGCTGGGCGTGTGGTGTGCACTTGTAGTTCCAGCTACCCAGGAGGCTGAGGTGGGAGGATCGCTTGAACCTGAGAGGCAGAGGTTGTAGTGAGCCGAGGTCGCACCACTGCAATTCAGCCTGAGTGACAGAGCACAACCCCGTCTCAAAAAACAAGAGTGGGCCGGACACAGTGGCTCATGCCTGTAATCCCAGCACTTTGGGAGGCAGAGGTGGGCAGATCATCTGAGGTTGGGAGTTCGAGACCAGCCCGGCCAACATGGTGAAACCTGATCTCTACTAAAAATACAAAAATTAGCCAGGTGTGGTGGGAGGTGCCTGTAATCCCAGCTACCCAGGAGGCTGAGGCAGGAGAATTGCTTGAACCCAGGAGGCAGAGGCTGCAGTGAGCTGAGATCACACCACTGCACTCCAACCTGGGCAACAGAGTGAGACTCTGTCTCAAAAAAAAAAAAAAAAAAAGAATGAAATAGGAAGTACCCTGAGTCTGGTGAGTGGACAAGAGGGGAGCCCTTGGAAGGCCACAGACCATGTGATGAGTTATGCTTCTTTCTTAAGAAGTAGGAAGAGCTACTGGGAATGACATGATCAGATTTGCATCGTGACAATCACAGACTGGCTGTTCTGTGGAGAATAGTTACGAGGCCATTATTATTATTATTATTATCATTACTATTATTATTATTATTTTATTTATTTATTTTTTGAGACAGAGTCTCACTCTGTCGCTCAGGCTGGAGTACAGTGGTGCGATCTCTGCTCACTGCAAGCTCCGCCTCCCAGGTTCATGCCATTCTCCTGCCTCAGCCTCCCGAGTAGCTGGGACTACAGGCGCCCGCCACCACGCCCAGCTAATTTTTTGTATTTTTAGTAGAGACATGGTTTCACCGTGTTAGCCAGGATGGTCTCGATCTCTTGACCTCGTGATCCGCCCGCCTTGGCCTCCCAAAGTGCTGGGATTACAGGCATGAGCCACCCTGCCCGGCCAGCCATTATTATGTCGCTTAGACTAGAGATGATGGTGACTCGGACCAGATGGGACAGCGGAGATGGAAAGGATGGATGGGTGGGAAAGCCGTCCTGCAATAACTGGAAGTGTGCATCTGTGGTGGGAGGTGGGTGGCATTGTTCAGGGACGACTCCTCAGTTCCCGATTTGCACAGTGCGTCGATGGCAGGGTCATGCACAGACTGAGTGGACTGGATGCAGGTTTGGAAGGAAAGCGCCTGAGTCGGGTTCTGGAGAACCCTTTGGATGTCAGAATGCAACCATCCCATCCTCTAGATTCATCTGCTCATTCTCAGGCTACAGGTACTTGAATGACCTGTTTCTTCAGTTTCTTTTTCTTTTCCTTTTTTTTTGAGAGACAGGATCTCACTCTGTCACCCAGGTTGGAGTGCAGTGGTGCAATCTTGGCTTACTGCAACCTCTGCCTCCTGGGTTCAAGCGATTCTCCCACCTCAGCCTCCTGAGTAGCTGGGATTACAGGTGCATACCACCACATCTGGCTAATTTTTGTAATTTTAGTAGAGACAGGGTTTCCCCATGTTGACCAGGCTGGTCTTGAACCTCTGACCTCAAGTGATCCGTCTGCCTCGGCCTCCCAAAGTGCTAGGATTATAGGCGTGAGCCAACGCACCCGGCCAAGGATGACCTGTTTCTGTATCTGTCACCCCTGGTTTCCCTCTGCCGAATGACTCCTACTTTCTCAGTTCCTCACTCTCTAACACAGTCCTGAGTGCAGGCTCTCTGATGCCAGGGCTCTGGTTCATTGACTCACTATTACACCTCATAGTTTGTGCTTGGCATGTCGTAGGCCCTTTATAAATATTTGTTATAAAGAGAATAAAGTCAGCTGGGCGAGGTGGCTCACACCTGTAATCCCAGCACTCTGGAAGACCGAGGTGGGCGCATCACCTGAGGTCAGAAGTTCAAGACCAGCCTGGCCATGCTGAAACCCCGTCTCTACTAAAAACACAAAAAATTAGCCGGGCATGGTGGCTGGTGCCTGTAATCCCAACTACTCGGAAGGCTGAGGCAGAAGAATTGCTTGAACCTGGGAGGCGGAGGTTGCCGTGAGCCAAAATAGCGCCATTGCGCTCCAGCCTGGGCAACAAGAGCGAAACTCCGTCTCAAAAAAAAAAAAAAAAAAGAGAATAAAGTCTGGGTGCGGTAGCTCACGCCTGTAATCCCAGCAATTTAGGAGGCCAAGGCGGGCAGATCACTTGAGACCAGTTCAAGACCTGCCTGGCCAATATGGTGAAACCTAGTCTGTACTAAAAATATAAAAAACAGCCGGGCATGGTGGCAGGTGCCTGTAATCCCAGCTACTCGGGAGGCTGAGGCAGGAGAATCGCTTGAACACAGGAGGCAGAGGTTGTAGTGAGCCAAGATCGCACCATTGTGCTCCAGCCTGGGCAACAAGAGCAAAACTCCATCTCAAAAAAACAAACAAAAAAAAGACAGAGAATAAAGAAAAATGAACTGTCCCAGTGATACTTGGAGCCACAGAGTAAATTGGCACATCTTCCTTAAATCATAAAATTGGGCCGGGCGCGGTGGTTCACGCCTGTAATCCCAGCACTTTTGGAGGCCGAGGCGCGCAGATCATGAGGTCAGGAGATCGAGACCATTCTGGTTAACACGGTGAAACCCCGTCTCCACTAAAAATACAAAAAAAGTTAGCCAGGCGTGGGGCCAGGCACGGTGGCTCACGCCTGTAATCCCAGCACTTTGGGAGGCCGAAGCGGGTAGATCACGAGGTCAGGAGATCGAGACCATCCTGGCTAACATGGTGAAACCCCGTCTCTACTAAATGTACAAAAAATTAGCTGGGCGTGGTGGCAGGCGCCTGTAGTCCCAGCTACTCGGGAGGCTGAGACAGGAGAATGGTGTGAATCCGGGAGACGGAGCTTGCAGTGAGCCGAGATCGCACCACTGCCCTCCAGCCTGGGCGACAGAGCGAGACTCCGTCTCAAAAAAAAAAAAAAAGAAAAAAAAATTGACAGTTTCACTTGTCATTTTGTAAAATTTTTTTTAAAAACAAGTATTGTAATTGTATTTGAAATGGTATTTTATTTTATCTTTTTAATTTTTTTTACAGACAGACTCCAGACTCCACTGTTGCCCAGGCTGGAGTGCAGGACACAATCATGACTTACTGTAGCCTCCAACTCCAGGAGGCTGAGTGACCTCCCACCTGAGCCTCCTGAGTAGCTAGGACTGTAGATGTGTACCACTGTGCCTGGCTTTTTTTTTTTTTTTTTTTGAGATGGAGTCTCATTCTGTCTGCCAGACTGGAGTGCAGTGGCACGATCTCGGCTCACTGCAATCTCCGCCTCCTGGGTTCAAGCAATTCTCCTGCCTCAGCCTCCCGAGTAGCTGGGACTACAGGAGCCTGCCATCACGCCCAGCTAATTTTATTTTATTTTATTTTATTTTATTTTATTTTATTTTATTTTATTTTATTTTATTTTTTGTATTTTAGTAGAGACGAGGTTTTACCATGTTGCCCAGGCTGGTCTCAAACTCCTGAGCTCAGGCAGTCCACCCATCTCGGCCTCCCAAAAGTGCTGGGATTATAGGCATGAGCCACCGCACCTGACCACCTGGCTAATATTTTTATTATTTGTAGAGATGGGGCTCTCACTATATTGCCCAGGCTGGTCTCAAATTTCTGGACTCAAGTCATCTTCCCGCCTTGGCCTCCCAAACTGCTGGGATTATAGGCGTGAGCCACCGCAGCCGGACTTATATGAATTTTTAGATTCAACATATTTCAAGGAAATGCTGCTGCAGTGGCCCTAGACTGTTTCCCTCCCCCATCTCCTCCATCTCCCCAGCACCCCACTCCTGTTTGCTGTTGAGGTGGAAATATTTGGATTCCACACAGTCGGGGTTGGGGAAGGAAGGGGAGGAGTTTGAAGAAAACGATGTTTGGACAAGCCGTAAGGAGAGCAAGTGAATAGCTAGGTAGCAGGGCTGGCCTGCGTCAGTGCAGCAGGAATTTGTGGCCCTCCAGTTCTGCAGGCTTCTCTATCCTCTTCTAGCAGTGCCCTGACCTGGGATCTGAGGCAGAGAGAGTTGCCATGCCAGCCTCTCAAGCCCCAGGATTAGCAATGCCAACCGGTGAAGGTTTAGGAGATGAGGGAGTGCTCTTAAGGGCACAGACTGGCAGGCCAGAGTGAGGGGCAAAGCCTCAGCCAAAGAAATTATTTACTATCGGCCGGGCTCAGTGGCTCGAGCCTGTAATCCCAGCACTTTGGGAGGCTAAGTCGGGCGAATCATGAGGTCAGAGGATGGAGACTATCCTGGCTAACATGCTGAAACCCCATCTCCGGCTGGGTGCGGTGGCTCATGCCTGTAATCCTAGCACTTTTGGAGGCCGAGACAGGCAGATCACGAGGTCAGGAGATCGAGACCATCCTGGCTAACACAGTGAAACCCCGTCTCTACTAAAAATACAAAAAATTAGCCGGGTGTGGTGGCTGGCGCCTAGAGTCCCAGATACTCGGGAGGTTGAGGCAGGAGAATGGAACCTGGCAGGCAGAGCCTGCAGTGGGCCAAGATCTCGCCACTGCATTCCAGCCTGGGCTTCAGACTCCATCTCCAAAAAAACAAAAACAAAAACAAAAACAAAAAACAAAGAAACCCCGTCTCTACTAAAAATACAAAAAATTAGCTGGGCATGGTGGCATGTGCCTGTAGTCCCAGCTACTCGGGAGGCTGAGGCAGGAGAATCACTTGAACCCGGGAGGTGGAGGTTGCAGAGAGCCGAGATTATGCCACTGCACTCCAGCCTGGGCAACAGAGTGAGACTCCGTCTCAAAAAAAAAAAAAAGTATATGTTCCACAGTACCAAGCTAAGTGATGTTCATGTCTACAGAGGAAAGCTGAAATGAACCTCTGCCCTCCACAATTACTGCATTCCTGAAAAGTGCAGAAATCAATACTTGACCATAGGAGTCTGCCTTTTTTTTTTGAGACAGAGTCTCGCTCTATCGCCCAGGCTGGAGTGCAGTGGCACCATCTCGGCTCACTGCAAGCTCCGCCTCCTGGGTTCACTCCATTCTCCTGCCTCAGCCTCCTGAGTAGCTGGGACTACAGGCGCCCGCCACCATGCCCGGCTAATTTTTTGTATTTTTATTAGAGACGGGGTTTCACTGTGTTAGCCAGGATGGTCTCGCTCTCCTGACCTCATGATCTGCCAGCCTCGGCCTCCCAAAGTGCTGAGATTACAGGCGTGAGCCACCGTGCCCAGCCTAGAGTCTGCCTTTCAAACTGAAACACCCTGACTTATATATATCACTTCAGAGGCAATTTATCCGACTTGATGGATGTTTAGTTGTCAGCTGACTCCTACCTTTCTACCTTGAAATTTCTCCACTCTGTGGCCTTTCTATAAAGAAAGAGGCAAAATAGTGTATAGGAAAGAGCCCTGAACCAAACCAAAGACCTCGATTCTGATTCGGGCTGTGCTACAGACTAGCTGAGTATGCTTGGATAAGTCACTTAACCTCTCTAGGCTTCAGTTCCTTCAATTCTCTGCAAAATGAAAAGAACAGACTGGATAATCTTTTTTTTTTTTTGAGATGGAGTCTTGTTCTGTTGCCCAGGCTGGAGTGCAGTGGCGCGATCTTGGCTCACTGCAACCTCCACCTCTGGGGTTCAAGCTATTCTCCTGCCTCAGCCTCCCAAGTAGGTGGGACTACAGGGACCTGCCACCACACCTAGCTAATTTTTTTTTTTTTGAGATGGAGTCTCACTCTGTTGTCCAGGCTGGAGTGCAGTGGCACGATCTCAGCTCACTGCAAGTTCCGCCTCCCAGGTTCACGCCATTCCCCTGCCTCAGCTGCAGCTGGGACCACAGGTGCCCACCAACACGCCCGGCTAATTTTTTTGTATTTTTAGTAGAGATGGGGTTTCGCTGTGTTAGCCAGGATGGTCTTGATCTCCTGACCTCGCGATCCGCCCGCCTCGGCCTCCCAAAGTGCTGGGATTACAGGCGTGAGCTACCGCGCCCGGCCTCACCTTAGTTATTTTTGTATTTTTAGTAAAGACAGGATTTCACCATGTTGGCCAGTCTGGTCTCAAACTCCTGGCCTCAAGTGATCCGCCTGCCTCGGCCTCCCAAGGTACTGGGATTACAGGCATGAGCCACCATGCCCCAGCCTGTTTGTTTTTTCATCTGAAAGATGGAATGAGAACAGGTGCAGTGACTCATGCGTGTATCCCAGCACTTTGGGAGGCCAAGGCAAGAGGATCACTTGAGCCCAGGGATTCCAGACCAGCCTGGGCAACATGGTGAGACTCCCTCTCACACCTATAATCTCAGCGCTTTGAGAGGCCAAGGGAGGAGAATTGCTTGAGGCCGGGAGTTGGAGACCAGCCTGGGCAACATGGTAAGACCCCATCTCTGGAAAAATAAAAAAAGATTTTTTAAATTAGCCAGGCATCGTGGCACACACCTGTGGTCCCAGCTACTCAGGAGGCTGAGGTGGGAGGATCGCTTGAGCCCAGGAGGTCAAGGCTGCAGTGAGCCATGTTTGTGCAACTGCACTCCAACCTGGGTGACAGAGTGAGACCCTGTCTCAATTTAAAAAAAAATGGCTGGGCGCAGTGGCTCATGCCTGTAACCCTACCACTTTGGGAGGCTGAGATGGGTGGATTGCTTGAGCCCAGCAATTTGAGACCAGCCTGGGGAACATGGTGAAACCCTGTCTCTATTTAAAAAAAAAAAATGTATCTGGGTGTAGTGATGCATGTCTGTAATCCCACCTACTCAGGAGGCTAAGGCAGGAGGATCGCCTGAGCCCAGGAGCCAGGAGTTGGAGGCTGCAGTGAGCTACGATTGCACCACTGTACTCCAGCCTGGGTGACAGGGTGAGACCCCGTCTCAAAAAATAAAAATAAAAACAAAAGATGAGGTGAAGCTCTGTTGTGTGAGATTAAATGGGATAATGTGTAAAAGGTGCCTGATGGCCAGGCACGGTGGCTCACGCCTGTAATCTCAGCACTTTGGGAGGCCAAGGCAGGCGGATCACGAGGTCAGGAGTTTGAAACCAGCCTGGCCAACATGGTGAAACCCTGTCTCTACCAAAAATACAAAAAAATTAGCTGGGCGTGGTGGCGGGCGCCTGTAATCCCTGCTACTCAGGAGGCTGAGGCAGGAGAATCTCTTGAAATCGTAAGGCAGAGGTTGCAGTGAGCTGAGATCACGCCACTGCACTCCAGCCTGGGCAGCAAGAGCAAAACTCCGTCTCAAAAATAAATAAATAAAATTAAATAAATAAATAAATAAATAAAAGGTGCCTGACATGGGGAAGGGGCACGACAAATGTTCGGCCGAGGATGCTCCTAAATAAATATTCATTTCAACACAAGAGCTCCTCTCTAAAGAGTAACTTCCCTTACATAGTTTTTTGCAAAATGAGGACTTCTAATTTTCAGCCCAACAAAATCCAGATTTTATGTGATAAAGTTTTGACAGTTCAGTTATGAAGTTTTCTGTTGACTCAGGATTAATTTGGCTACAAGATTCTTTTGGTTTCAACCCTTGGCACTGAAAATCATTCTGCAGGCCCGGCGCAGTGCCTCACGCCTGTAATCCCAGCACTTTGGGAGGTGAGGCAGGTGGATCACCTGAGGTCAGGAGTTCGAGACCAGCCTGGCCAACTTGGTGAAACCCCATCTCTACTAAAAATATAAAAATTAGCAGGGCGTGGTGGCTCACGCCTGTAATCCCAGCACTTTGGGAGGCCGAGGTGGGCGGATCACAAGGTCAGGAGATCGAGACCATGCTGGCTAACACGGTGAAACCCCGTCTCTAGTAAAAATACAAAATATTAGCCGGGCGTGGTGGCGGGCACCTGTAGTCCCAGCTACTCGCGGGGGAGGGGGGCGGGCGGAGGGGAGGCTGAGGCAGGAGAATGGCATGAACCCGGGAGGCGGAGCTTGCAGTGAGCCGAGATCGTGCCGCTGCACTCTAGCCTGGGTGACAGAGCGAGACTCCATCTCAAAAAAAACAAAAAAAAAGAAAGAAAAGAAAATCATTCTAAACTCTGAATCCGGCTGGGTGTGATGGCTCACGCCTGTAATCCCAGCATTTTGGGAGGCCAAGGTGGGCGGATCACTTGAGGTCAGGAGTTCGAGACCAGCCTGGCCAACATGGTGAAACCCCGTCTCTACTAAAAATACAAAAATTAGCCAGGTGTGGTGGTGCACGCCTGTAGTCCCAGCTACTCGGGAGGCTGAGGCATGAGAAACGTATGAACCCAGGAGGTGGAGGCTGCAGCGAGCTGAGATTGAGCCACTGCACTCCAGCCTGGGTGGCAGAGTGAGACTCTGTCTCAGAAAAAAAAAAAAAAAAAAAAAGATGAGGTTTTGCTATGTTACCCAGGCCAGTGTTGAACGCCTGGGCCCAAGCCTCAGCCTCCCAAAGTGCTGGAATTACAGGAATCAACCAACTCGCCTGACACTGGATTTGCTTTTTTTATTTTTTCGAAACAGTCTTGCTCTGTCTCCCAGGCTAGAGTGCAGTGGTGCAATCTCAGCTCCCTGTAACCTCCACCTCCTGAGTTCAAATGATTCTCCTGCCTCAGCCTCCCGAGTAGCTGGCGTTACAGGCGCCTGCCACCACGCCCAGCTAATTTTTATACTTTTAGTAGAGATGAGGGTTCACCATGTTGGCCAGGCTGGTCTCGAACCCCTGACCTCAAGTGATCCACCAGCCTCAGCCTCCCAAAGTGCTGGGATTACAGGCATGAGCCACTGCACCCAGCCAGGAGTTGCTTTTTGATTATAGAGGGTATCAGGACACGTCAGGGTGGAAACTTTCCCAAGGCAAAGCCTCCACAATCTAGCATCGAATTGTAAATCAGGACACCATTGGAGCCAAAAAGTAACTCAAAGTAACCACGCTCATAAGAGATTGATGCAACTAATGCAATTATTTGCATAGCAATTTATTAATTTATAATCAGGATAGTGTTTCAAGGCCATAAAATATCAATGTATCCCATCCAGAAAAGCCCCTTCCCTGTCCTGGAGGACAAAGAAATCATTAGCAAGTAGCTTGGTAGACATGGAGTCCGTCTTGAGGACCATTTCCCTGGGCCACGGTAAAGTCTGGCGAAGCACCACTGTGCTAAGCAGACTCCTACCAAATGGAGCATCTGGCAATCTCTGCTTTTTTTTTTTTTAACCTCTGCATTTTTGAACGTCCTTTTTTTAGGGTCTTAATTGACCATTCTTCTTTGATTCACATCATCTTTATGTTGCCCACACTCCAATTCTCTGCCTACTTACTCAGTTGTAATCACAATCCAGTCCTGCCTTCCTCAAGTTTCACTGGCTCACCATGGTA